>NC_000022.11:34164109-34315624 GCF_000001405.40 Homo sapiens
AGCAGCATATTAAGTGTGGGTCTAAAGTCATAGGTAGGGGTCAGATCTCTCAGGATGTTTTCAGCACCTTGGATTTTATCTGGAGGTAGAAGGAGTCCTTGAGAAATTTTAAGCAGGAGCAACACTTAGGTGTACATTTTGAAAAGATCACTCTGACTGCAGTGATGCTGATAGGACAGAAAGTCAAAGAAAAGATAAAGAAAGGAGATAAGAGACCTTAGGAGGAATCTGGGTGAAAAATGATGAGGACTTCATCCAGAACAGAAAGAGGCAGAAAGAAATGAGCAGATTTCTGAAATATTTAAAATCTAAATATTTCAGCCCAGAGCATCTCATTGTAGAGTTGCCTCTGTTATAAACTGTAGGAGAGTGAGAGCCCTAGAGGCAAACTTGTACCAAACTCCAGGCTGGAGAATTCTGTTTCCAAAGACCACCATCCTCTAAACAACATGAGTCTGAACTCCTCGCCAACCATCCCTCTTCCTTCATAGATTTCAGCTCCTGGAGGACAGATTACCTGTACTGTAAAACACAAATCATGAAACTCCAGCTTTCAGATGTTTCCGAGCACACGCTGTGGTTATTTCATTTTCACAGCCTAAGCTTCCATATTTCTTATTGAGTGAGCAGGGTGAATGCAGCTGAAAGCTTGGTGCCTGTGTTCTTTTGGAAAATACAAGTAAAGCAAAGGGTCCTAAATAATTTACAACTGTCCTAAATTTTTCCAGCTGTCTGCCTTCTTCCATCTCTCCAAGGGATGCAAAAAACAGCCTCCAGCTCTCTAAAATGTTCATATTTCTAGAAGCTCTGGGAGAAAAGAAGAAAAACCACAAATGTTCCCTCTTTAAATATTCCTTGTAGTATATATTTTTTCTTCATACCCAGTGATGACAGGTAATAGCCGCAATTTTAGAGAAAAACTTGGTCTAGTGAAAAGATCTTGCATTTTTGTCATGGTGGCATGGAATCATTGAATGTCAGAGCTGAAATTTGAATTTAGAGGCAATCTACTTCAGAGACAGACAACACCTGGCATGTGTGTTGTAATTCTCCTCGCCCACATCAATGGCAGACATTGCTAATCCATCACTATAGTCTTTCTCTATAAGCCCAGGTGTAGCCTCAGATCCTTTCAATACAGTGCTTAAGTGACTACTGACAGATTGGAGTTGGCACACAAAATGAAACTTATTCATCATCCTTGATCTAGTCCCAGCAGTTGCACAGGGGGAAACTGAGAGGTGGAAATGGCCCAACAGCATGCTATCAATGGGTTTTGATGCTCAGACCTGCCTTCAGGTTCTTTACTCTGAATAAAGGCCATTCTAGTCTTTACGCTGAATCTTTCTCTCCTGTGTCTGTCTCTGTGTCCCTCAGAATCTCCATGCCTTTCTCTTTCTTTGAATCTCTGAACATCTATCTGCTTTCTGCCTGTCCTTGAGCTACTGTCTAGCTTTTTGGCCACAGCTGTATCTCAATATGTCTCAGCTCATCCACTGAGTAGCTTTGGGACCCCAGGCGTGCCTCTGGACTCTTCCACGTGTAAATTGGGAACTGTAGTGCCTGCTCTGCACCAGAGAGCTTTTGGAGCCTAGTTGCATTCAGTGATAAGAAAAAGAGACTAGGAATCACATGGCCATAGATACAGAGTTTACTGGAAGATAAAGTAATAGTTTGATTTGTGATCATGTGAGAGAAAGATTTTTCTGGGACAACAGTAACGTGGAAGCACATTTGTGCCTAAATGGCTTCCATTTAACTAGCAGCAGGAAAAGCTCAGTGTGGAGGAGGATGGGAGCCAAGGGGGGCAAGAATGAATGGGAGTTCACCATGTTTGGAGGCAGGTGGTAGCTACTTCAGTGTGTTTGCTCTTTTCTCTTTGGTTGGTTTGATGGAGGGAGGGCACACTTTCCCGTGGTTTTCCTCAATCCCGGGGAGACCGTATCCCTCAGAAGGACTAGACACAAGCACTGAGTTTGGGGAGTGCTCATAGCATTCTCAAGCTCATGGAGGAGGGACCCTGGGCCCTCCTCACCTTCAAGCTTGGTTTCCATTTCATGGTCCCAAGACAGATTTTAAAGAAAGAAAATAAGCCTCATCTCCTAACTATGACTTGGTCGGAAGCCAAGAACCTACTTCAACATTTGACCCATAACCTTCTCTTGAGATGATGGGCTGACTTTTTCAATGCATGAGTTTGTCCAAAGGCTTGATGGGAAAATCTCAACATTTGTTACCTAAGAAAGAGGATGTATCTTACTTTGTTTAAAAAACTGCATATGCCTTTATTTTTGTTTTAGTTCCCTCCAGCTTTATTGAGGTAAGATTGACAAATAAAAATTGCATATATTTATGGAGCACATAGTGATGTCTTGATGTATGTATACATTGTGAAATGATTACCCCAATCAAGCAAATTAGCATATCCATCACCTCGTGTAGTTACTATTTGTTTCTGTGACAGTGACAACACTTGAGATCTACTCTTTTAGCAAATTTTAAGTATAAAATCGGTATTATTATCTATAGATTCCATGCTGTACATTAAGTCTCTAGAACTTATTCCTTGCATAACTGAAGATTTGTACCCTTTGACCAATATCTCTCCTTTTCATTATCCCCCACTCCAGCCCCTGGTAACTACCATTCTACTCCATGCTTTATGAGTTTGACTTTCTTTTTTTAAATATTCCACATAAAAGTGAGATCATGCAGTATTTGTTTTTCTGTGTCTGGCTCATTTCACTTTGCATAATCTCCAGTTTCATCCATGCATTGTGCAAAACTGCTATGAGCCTGCACAGGGAAGGAGCCAGGTTCAAGAGGTCAAAGAAGAGACCCAGAGCTATTATAGCAAACTAGACGTGGAGTTTTATCAGGAGCTTACTCCTCCTGCAGGAGAGAGTCCAGTGGTGGCAGGCTGGACAGGAGAACTGCCTTCATACAAAAATAGTCCAGCGGTGGCACGCTGGACAACGTATTTGCCTTCCTACAGTCCAGTGGCAGTGGGCTGGACAACATAATCACCTTACCTATGGTCCAGTGGTGGCAGGCTGGACAACATATCTGCCTTAAATACAGTCCAGTGGGAACAGACTGGACAACACATTAGCCTTCCTACAGTCCAGTGGCAGTGGGCTGGGCAACATATCTGCCTTCCTATGGTTCAGTGGCAGCAGGTTGGACAACATAATCCTCTTATCTATGGTCCAGTGGTGGCGGGCTGGACAATGTATCTGCCTTATGTACAGTCCAGTGGCAGCAGACACAACCACATATCCACCTTCCTACAGTCCAGTAGTGATGGGCTGGACAACATAGCCAACTTCCCACAGTCCCTTTGAGGTGGGCAGGAGAAGACAACCGCAGGACTCAGTGGTGGTGGGCTGTGCAGGAAACCTGCAACCGCTTGCTAATAGCATGCAGTTTACAGAGCATTTTCACTTAACAACCTTCTCTTAACAACCTCCAGTTGGCAACTTTCACTTAACTCAAAACTTAGGGCCTTAATCCCCTGTACACCCCGTGTTCTACAGGATGGGATGGGGACTTAGATGTTTCTCAGGACAAGGAATGAATCTCCCGGTTGGCCCTTCTGGATTCCCTAGCTCAAAATACACACTCAGGTGTGTCTGCCATACACGGTCATTCTAAGGTTATGCTTAAGTTATTGCTATCAGGGGCATTTACCCTACACCATGTTGTTGCAAATGGCAGAATTTCCTTCTTCTATAAGGCTGAATAATATTTTGTTATATGTATATAGAAATACACACACACATATAATATATATGTATGCGCACCACAATTTCCTTATTCATTTATGTGTGGACAGTTTGTTTTCATATCTTGGCTGTTGTGAAAATTCTGCAATGAACTTGGCAGTGCAGAGACATCTTCAGTGAGAAGACATCCTCGAGCTGAGGCATGCAGTGGGAATACAGCCCCAGCGTGGTCTTAACAACTTACCAGGCTCTCCCAGAACACTTCCTTTCTTCTGTCTCTCTCCTGGAGCCTTCCAGGAGCTCAAGTATAAGGGGTTTCTTTTCAAGACAGGAAATTAGAGATGTGATTCTATAGTGCTAGTGCTCAAACTTGGTTGCACATTGGAATCACTTGGGGAGTTTTTGAAAATACTGATGCCTGGATCCCACCCCTGGAGAGTCTAATTTAGTTGGTACTGGGTAAGGTCTGAGTCTGAGGTTTAAAAAATTTTCCCTGGCGGTTCTTACATAAAGTTTCAAAACTTCTGCTCTATAGTTACCAAACTTTAGAAACCCCACTGATTTCTTCCTTTGGATTACGTGTATAATTTCTACCAAAATGGGAGCTCAAAGTGTCCCATTACTGCTTGTATTGTCTGACAATTCAAGCTTGGGATGCAATTATCCCTGCAATTGCTAACAAGCAAGGAGCAGGTGGTACAGTCAGTTATTGGCTGGATTTCATACATTAGGAACATCTGGATTTACTGCTGTAGTTGCCACTTCAGGGGGCATTCTGATGGTGATAAATAGGGCACTCTCAGGGAGTTGAGGTTATATGTGTCATCAAATGAATAGGAAACACATCTAGCGGAAAAATTACATCCTTATATTTTTCTAAAATGAATTGCCAGTATCTCTTTTGCATAGAGAACCAGATGATACTTCATATAAAGGCTCACCTGCAGGAAAAAGAGCAGAGGTTAGAGGATATCTAAGTCACTCCAAATGTCAAATGTCAAATTGATATTTGTGTGTGCATCTGTACTGGAACTTGAAACACATAGATGACTACTATGAAGTTAGCCTCTCAGCCTCATCTTCTCTTCTGTAAGATGAACTTAATCAAACCTACCAAGCTAAATTATTTTGATGATTAAAGTAAATTATAAATGTAAAGTTTATTGCGTATATTAGGCAAATCTCAGTCCTAGAATCCTACAACTCTGCCAGGAAATATAAAGAAAACCTCAATTTAAAAATTAGTAGAACCATGAATGGGCAATTCGTTGAAGAAAAATATATGTAGCCAGTGAAACAAAAAGAAACATAGCATCACTAGTAATCAAGACATTTCAATGAAGATGAGAACACTATTCTTTTATCTTAAATTGCATATGATTTATGTTGTGGTGAGATAGGTTCTCTCATAACCTGCTAATAGGGGTATAAATTGATTTAGTTTTTTAGAAAGCAATATCAAGAACCTTCAAAAAGATTTTTTTCAAATAAGTAATTCTATTTCTCTAATCTATCTTAAGGATCTAAATATAATTGTTTATAGTTGTTGACCTCAATGTTAGTTATAATAGTGAAAAATGGAAATAACTGAATTACTCAAAATATGTGAAAAGTTAAGTAAATTATGATGCACTTTCAAAATATTATAATGTACCTATAAAATTAAATGTATAAAATTATCTACTGACATAGGAAAATGTTCTTCTAAGTGAAAAGGTGAGCTAACAAGCTTTATTTTTTATATTGTAGCTTTGTTTTAAAATTATATTTTATGTATTGATATGCTTTTATTTTGCTAGTAACAGACCCTGATTCAAACTGACTTAAATAATACAGAAGATTTATTAGCTCATATAGTAGACAATAACACCAAACACATCAGGCTCTAAAATTTGTTGATTTATTGGTCAGCATTTTCATCAAGGATCCAGGCTTCTTCTCAATCTCTCTGCCATCCCCAGGGTTGTCTTCATCTTTAGGCTGGAGGTGTCATATCCAGATCCAGTGGTGTCTAGAGAAATGAGACTACTTGCCCTCTTTGCTCATTCATGTGCTCTTTTTTTTTTAAATCCTGTCTCTATACTCCCCCTCCCGGTATTCCCCATCTTTGATTGGAAATGAAGATTTTTTTTTCACTAGCGCACCTGCAGAATTCCCCTCCTGTTTTATATGCCTGAATTGGGTAGTGCCCATTTCTGAAGCAACCCCTGGCCAGGGAACTGAGACCACACTTAGACCAATTAGGATCAATTTCTGAACTCAGAGGGCTGGGTTTCCCATTGCCCTTGTCTTGTAGAGGAGGGGCCGGTCGCTGAACACAACTACTGTTCAGTTAGGGAGGAGGAGATGCAAAGGGAAGCAGCCAAGTGTATCCACTATGCGTATGCATCAGTCCACGAAGATACTTACCTTCGTGGAGGAAGTATGACGGAAAAATACCCTAAGATGAGAAGGAAGTTTCTAGGTCATATACTTGATGAAAAGATTTTGACTGAAGTCTGATTCCAAGTGAAACCCTTTCAGAGCTCCTGGGAAAGAGAACCAAATGCAGAGAGTAAACCAGGTAGGATGTGACCTCTGATGACAAGCACTTCTGAAATGGGACAGAGGCTGCACTGCCTGGCTGGCTCTTCTCATCTCTCTGTATGATGTGCTTGTTGTTTGTCATGGGATATAGCTTATTACGGTGATGGGTGTTGGGGGTGAAACTGTAGGAGGACTCTAAAGTGTCAGAGAAAAAGCAGAATTTTTTTGTGACTTGTGTAAGCCTCAGTTAAAATTCACCTAGTGAATCAGGCTGGAGATATTCATGGCCTTGTTTCCATGATGTCATGAGAAGAAAGGTTCCAATAAAATCTCCTAAGATTCTGCAAACCGGTTCACTCTCTGAATTCTCTTTATATTATTGTTTCCCCCAAAATGCTGGAAACCGAAAGAGGGTGTCCTTCCATAAGAAATGCATGAATTTATTCTTGTATTCAATGAGCATTTAAACCACACAATAGTAATGATAGGTAATTGTCTTAGTTTCCTAAGGTTGCTATAGCAAGGTACCACAATTGGGTGGCTTAACACAACAGAAACGTATTGTCTTATGACTCTGGAAGCTAAAAGTCTGAATCGAAGAGTCAACAGGACTGTGCTCTCTTTCTGGAGGCTCTGAAGAAGGCTCTTTCCTTGCTCCTTGGCTTCTGGTGTTTGACAACAATCCATGGTACTCCTTGGTTCATTGCAGATGCTCCAACCTTTCCCTCCCAATCGGCTCACACGGTGTTCTCCTGTGTCTTCATATTGTCTTCCCTATGTATGTATATATTCCCAAAGTTCTCTTTCTTATATGGTCATCAGTCATATTAGATTAGGGCCTACCCCAATGACTTCATTTTAATTTGAATACATCTGCAAAGACCTTATTTCCAAATAAAGTCATATCCACAGATACTTGGGGTTAGGTTCATATAACTTTTTGGAGGGATACCATTTAACTTATGACATGTTATATACAGACACTGTTCTAAGTGCTTTATATACTTCTCACAAAAGCTCTGTGAGATAATTCCTTTTATTTTTACTTTATAGGTGAAGAGATTGAATCTTAAAGATGTTTACTAACCAGTCCAAGGTCACACAGTTAATTAGCAGTGTTTTGGAATTTAAACCCATGTAGTCTTAGTTCAGGGCCCATGATCATAACAACTACACTGTACTGCCTCTTTATTATGCAGTATATATTACGTACTTTCTTAGTGTATGAAATAAGTTGCGTAGACCAGGGGCTTGGAGTTTAGATGACCAATGCATGTACGAGGAAGAGAGAATGAAGAGAAAGAATAGAGAGAAGAAAGATATGACTTTTCTATTATTCATTTATTTTCTAGAAAATATTTACTGGATAGCTACTAGACATAAGGATGCAGAAATGAATTAGAAAAATTCCTCGCCCTGTAAGTAAAATAAATTAAAATATATTTTATAAGAGAATCCCCATCAATCCACCTTAATCATTTGATGAATCAGATATCTTTTCTGTGCTAGAAATTGTGGGCCTTCAAATGAATGATACATTGATGCAATGATATATTGCCTTTAAGGAATTCTATGTGTAGTAGGAGAAGTAGAGAAATTTGTAGAAAACACTTTCATAAATATGTATCAAATAATGTCCCATATGTATACGGGTTTATGCCATAACCATCACTGGATTCTCACAATACTTTAACGAGGAAAGTATTATTATCCCCATCTCACTAAAGAAAACAGGCAGAGAGGCAGTGAGATGCTCAAAGTCACACAGCCAGTACTTAGCAGAGTCAAGACTGCATGGCTGCAAGTCTAGCACTCTTTCCCCCTAACCATAAAGCTGGATGGGATGAATGTCATCATGGAGATACAAAAAATGCCTCTCGGAAAATCCTATTGGCTGGTATGAGAGAGCACAGCCCTGAGTAGACAGGATACTGGCAAACACGTTGTGATAGTGGAGCAAAAGGAAGGCTCTGGGCCCTGGGCACCGTCTGGGCAGGACATACATTTAGCAGTGGCCATTTCATGGAACTGGGCTGAAGATTCAATCACATAATTGGGAGGCCAGGGTAGGCAGATCATGAGGTCAGGAGTTCAAGACCAGCATGGCCAACATGGTGAAACTCCATCTCTACTAAAAATACAAAAATTAGCTGGGCATGGTGATGCATGCCTGTAATCCCAGCTACTCAGGAGGCTGAGGGAGGAGAATTGCTTGAACCGGGACCTGGGAGGTGGAGGTTGCAGTGAGCTGAGATTGTACCACTGCACTCTAGCCTGGGCTACAGAGCAGGATTCCGTCTCAAAACAAACAAACAAACAAACAAAAAAGATAGGTGTCATCATATTACCAGAAGGGTAATTAGAGTAAAGGGTAAATGACTTATAATTTTATAATTAGTATCTATAATATGCCAAGCACTGTGCTAATTGCATGGCATCTGTAATTTCATATCACATATCTTTATAATGACTTGGAAGTCCATTCCCATTCATCTCTACGTTATGGAAGAGAACACTGAGGCCAAGAAAGGCTAAGTTTTTGCCCAATGTCACATAGCTACCAAGTAGAAGAGCTGCTACTGAACTCAGCCACGTGAGATTCTCCAGATCGTACAACGGGCTACATTCATGCTAGAAAGCCCCTCGCTCCCATTACCATGAATCTGTGAATGAATAAAATAATAACAACTGTCAATTTTGGTGAAAATAAAGTAGTAAGCATTTTAATATTATTGAAAGTGATGATAAATTTAGACCCTATAGCCTGGAGACCTAGATATGTCCAAATCCTGTCTAAGGCCAATTACATAATCTTATAAGGAGAGTGATATGATCAAGGAAAGAAAGAAAAGTGATGTTTATTAGTTGGTGGGGCTTGGTCCTAAACCCTAAAGTTGAAGTCTAGTAGGGTGGGCTGGGTTATATAAGTCAGGGGCCAGCAAAATTTTTCAGTAAAGGAAAATATAATAAATATTTGTGGTCTTGCAGGCCATATGGTCTCCTGCAGATATTATACTTGACTCTGCCACTGGAGCAGAGAAGTATCCATAGTAGACAATTTGTAAATGAATGGGTATGGCAGTGTTCCAGTGAAACTTTATTTCCAAATACCCATGTTGGGCCCTGTTTGACCCAAGGGCCAACCCTTGAAGCAGAAGCTTCTGTTTCTTTCTGTAAAGACAGCTTAGCAACCAAAACTGGAGCAGCAAAATGCTATGTCTCTTAAGCTCAGACCAGAGCATCAGAACATGCCACTGCAATGAGATGAGGCTTCTCTCCAGCTGTGGAGAATATAAAGTTGGGGAACAGAAGAAAACCATCAGCTACAATGCCTGGAACTGCCAGACTTAGTCTTTCTAACCGGGACCCGTAGACATTAGGAGAGAGAGAACTGGATTGAGAGCCTCGAATTCAGAGGCAGTCCCAGCCCTTACCCTAAAGATATAAAGAGGAGCAGAGACCTGGTTCATCTATACCTTAGAATGCATAGTCCAATTGTGCATTGGAATCTAATTCACCAGCTTGGCACCTCTCCTTTTGAAGGGGGTGGAGATATTTTTCCTAGATCCTGACTCACCCCTAAAGAGCATACATATGTATGCTGGGGAAAGTGGGGTGGGGAGGAAAGCAGGTAGCAACCAAAGCATGTTGAGTAACCTCTAGAGGTCAACACATGCATTTTTATCATTTAATGCTTACATCACCATTACCCCTGGAAGGTAGGTATCATGCTCCTATTTTACAGACTAGAATACTGGGACTTCTTAGAGGCTAGGAGCCCTCCCTAAGGTCACCTGACTACAGACCAGCAGACCTGTTATTAGAATGTGCACCTCCAAAGCATATGCCTCTTCCCATGGCCCTAAGCCTTCTGAATAAGCAAGTAGCAGTGCTTGCTCTAAAAATGCTATTCTCAGTAGGAGAGCATGACTCTGTCTTTTCCCTGCAGTGTTCAAAGCTATGCTGGCTCTTAGAACATCTGAGCCCCCACTGTTTCATCTTTAGAGGATCCCAGCTGCTGGGGTGTGAGGCCAGTGCTGGAGCCAGCAGTCTCTGACCCAGAAGGGACCTGAGGTGCTAAAGAAAAGTAAGTTACCCTCTTTGCTAAGTCTCCAGACCTGCTTTGAGCATAACTGTGCTTATTGGTTACCACATTTGTATTTGGTGCAGGGAGTTGTACTTAGTGGCTGGAGTTCATATTTGGGACTAGAGATCCCGTAGGAATCTACAGAGGAGTTAAGAGTTTTAAGTCCTAAGGAGGCAATGTAAGCAGACTGAGGAATAGAAAGGAGAAAGCAAAAGGGGAAGAGAATTGATGGTAAACAGGGTACCTTTGGGGTCTTTCCAAAATGGAGAAGATTCAAAAGGTAAGGCTTCCAATGGTGGCTGCATTTGCCAGTACACATCTTCCATCCTCTCTTCTTCTGGCATTGGCTCCATTTCCTACACCCTGTCTATGTGATGTAAGTGGGAGTGGCCCCATCCTACCCAGATCCAGCAATGAGCACATGAGTCAGGCTTGGCCAGTCACTGAAGTGCCCCTGGTCAGCATGATTGGTTCATGCTTGAACACCTCACTTTAATTAGCCCAATTGGCATGAATTCCAGAACTTTTCAGGGATAATAAAAAACCATAGCTCTTTTTTTTTTCCACAGGGATCATTATCTATAAAGATAATTTAAGCTTGGGGATGCAAGAATCTCCATGAGTGAAGGATTTAAGGGTGAAGCCAGCTCAGTGGGAAATAAAGCCAAGAAATGGGAAGGGGGTAGAAGGAGAGAGAAAGACAGACAGAGACAGAGAGGTAATTATGTAAGGAATTGGACCCAACATGACTCAAATCAGCAAGCATCCTTTTCAGTTACAGAAGTCAATAATTATTTTGTTAGACTGAGATTTTCTGTCAATTGCTCCTGAAAGTGTTCTAGGCTTGGATGGGACATGCATGGTATCTTAGTCCATTTGGGCTGCTATAAGAAAAATACCACAGACTAAGCAGCTTGAACAACAAACACTTCTTTCTCACAGTTCTGGAGGCTGAGAAGTCCAAAACCAAGTCACCAGCAGATTCAGCGTCTGGTAATGGTCCACTTCTTGGTTCACAGATGGCTATCTTTTCACTGTGTCCTCACATGGTGGAAGGGCCAAGGGAGCTCTATGGGGTCTCTTCTATAACAGCATTAACCCCGTTCGTGAGGGCTCCATCCTCATGACCTGATCACATACCAAAGTTGTTTTCACTTCCCAAAGACCCCACCTCCAAATACTATCACAATTGGGGTTAGATTTCAACCTATGAATTTGTGGGGGGCACACAATCTTTAGTCAGGGTTTGTGGGAACAATATGACCTTGGTCAGGTCCCTTTATCTTTGCACCTTATTTTCTCTTTGCCCAAATAAAGAATACTTGATATTCCAGATCAATTATTTTATGAGTAATCACAAATATTTCTAATATTCATTGGGTGCTTGCTATATGTGCAGTACTCAGCTATTTATGGTACTTATTACTCATAACAATCTTATGGGGTACATACTCTCATTATCCCGATTTGACAGATTAGTAAACTGAGGTGCAGACAGGCAAGTGATTCTTCCAGAGAGTAGGTAAATGGCGTACCTGAGATATGAGCCCAGTGGTCTGTCCCCGCAAACTGTGCTCTTAGTCACAACACTACTTTTTCAGTATTTGAACAAAACATTCAAGAGCAAAACATTCTGGCAGATGCACAGCAGGTGGTGGGGCAAAAAGGGACCCGGATGGGGATCAAGAGGCTCACAAGATAGTCTCAGCTCTGCCGCTTAGTTTTCAATGCTGGACAGGTCCTCATTTATTTTCATTTGTTCAACAAGGGAGGTGGACTAGATGTTCTTTAAGATTCTGTCTAGTTTTAACATTCTGTGATCAGTGACAGAAGATGTTAAATAGATCATGTTGATTGTCATCTCATGTATTCATGGGATGTATTCAGACCCTGGGGTATTGGGCCCAGAGCTAATGTCGTGCTGACCACAGTAGCAAAAGAGCAACTCACAAGCAAGTTTGCCTATGAACTTGCTTCTTTTAGAACCTAGGTCATTCAGCCTTTCTCATGGCCTTTTCTTGAGTTCAGGCCAATGGAGCATCCAGTTTCATAAACTATAGAGATTGTTTTGGGAAAAAGAAATGAAACCAATCAGGGTTGTGGGTTGCAAGCAACAGAAGCCAAGGCTGGATTTCTAAAGTGAAAGGGTATTTACTGGAAGAATATGGAGAATCCACAGATCTAAGGGAGGCTGGGGGACTGGGCAGGGAAATTGGGAGGAGCTGGGGGAGCTCGGGAGCTCACAGCAGGAGCCCCAACCATGGTTCCCATGAAGTGAGTCTGGCATGCACACTATTTCTGTGATGATTGATTGTATCTCCTCTTTCCATCACTCACCTGAGTCCTGGAGAGAGCAGCCAGTTGGTCAGCTCGGGTCACAAGCCCTGCCCTTGGCTATACTATTGTAGGAGGAAGGAGACTCTGTATCTAGAGAGAAGCTCTGCAGTGGGAGGGTCTTACCAGGAGAATACCTCTCCAAGGTATGTGGGTCAAAGTGCTCCCTAAAAGATAGTCAGGTGCATTAGCTGGGTGTGGTGGCATGTGCCTGTAGTCCCAGCTACTTGGGAGGCTGAGGCAGGAGAATCGCTTGAACCCAGGAGGCAGATGTTGTGGTGAGCTGAGATCGCGCCACTGCATTCCAACCTGCCCACAGAGCGAGACTCCGTCAAAAAAAAAAAAGGGTAGTCAGGAGCTGGTACAGAAAAAAAAAAATTCCTGGACAGTCTAATGATAAGCATCATCTTTAAGGGTATAAATTATAATGACAGTTATGCTTTAAAAAACTCAGTAGCAAATATAGAAATATTCTTTAAAAATACAACAAAAAATTATTGTATTTCCGCTCTTCCTTTCTCTGTCCCTTTCTCCTTCCCATCCTCAAATATTTTCTTGAACATCCTTTATTTAGATAGATGTATTGCATCAAGCCTCTAGAGTCAGGCTGCCTGAATTTGAACCCCATCTCTGTTACGACGTCATTATGTAACTTTAGATAACTTATTTTTTATGGTATCCCCCTCCCTCCTTCTCCTCCCTCCTCCTTCCACCTCTCCCTCCCTCCTTCATTTACTTAATCTATTTTTTGTTTTAAAATAATTTTCTCCCCAGATTCCTCATGTTTTTGTTTGCATACCTTGAAATTTAAAAATTAAGTTTAACTTGATATACTCAAATTACAATGCAATATTTTTTATACCTAGAGCTTGCATCTGGGAAAAATATTAAATTTTTACATTAATTTAATTGTGATTCAGTTATTAAATTTAACAGACAAATTATAAAACCAAATTTTAAAAATAATGAGAATTTATTATTTACAAACATCATGCTTTATTTTTAATTTACTATTTTATTAATGACGATTAAAATTTTCAACAATTGCAGTTTTGATAACCACTGTAATTTTTATTGTATATATTTAAGCTGTACAAAATGACACACACACACATACTTACACACCTACACACACATAGTGAAGTGATTACTGCAGTGGAGTAAATTAAGATGTAAATAATCTCACATAGTTACTTTCTTTGTGCTAAGAGTACCTAAAATCTCCTCTCTTTGCAAATATCCAGTGTAGAATACAATATTAACTACAGTCCTCACTAGATCGCTAGACTTATTCATCCTATGTGACTGCTACTTTTCACTCTTTGGCTTAGGTATCCCCAATCTCCCCTGCCTCTGCAACCACTTTTCTACCCTTCCTTCCTTTCCTCCTTACCTCCTTCCCTGCTTCCCTTCCTTCCCTCCCTCCCTCCCTTCCTTCTTTCCTTCCTTCCTTCCTTCCTCTCCCTCTCCCCCTTCCTCCTCCTTATCCCCCTCCCTCCTTCTCCTCCCTCCTCCCTCCTCCTCCCCCTCCCTCCTCCTCCTCCTTCTCCTTCTCCTTCTTCCTCTGTAGAGATGAAGTCTCACTGTGTTGCCCAGGCTGGTTTTGAACTACTGGCTTCAAGTGATCCTCCCACCTCTGATTCCCAAGGTGTTGGAATTACAGGCATGAGCCACCATGCTTGACCTCTACTCTGTTTCTGTGTATCTATTTCTTTTTTTTTTTTTTTGGTAAGATTCCACAAGTAGTTGAGATCGTGACATTTTTCTTTCTATCTAGCTTGTTTTACTAGGCATAATCGTTTCATTCATGTTGTTTAAAGTGGCAGGATTTCCTTCCTTTTAAAGGCTGAATAATATTCCATTGTGTGTGTGTGTGTGTGTGTGTGTGTGTGTGTGTGTGTGTATACCACATTTTCTTTATTCATTCATCTGTTAACACTTAGATGGTTTCCATATCTTGGCTATTGTGAATAATGCTGCAATGAACATTAGAGTGCAGACATCTTGACAAGATGGCGATTTCATTTCTGTGGGCTTTATACCCAGAAGGAGGATTAATGGGTCATATGATATGTCTTTAGGAACCTCTATATTGTTTTTTATTATAGCTGCACCAATCTGCATTTCCAACAACAGTGTACAAGAGTTCCCTTTTCTCCACACCCTTGCCAATGCTTGTTATCTTTTTTTTTTTTTTTTTTTTTTAATACTGGTCATCCTAACAGGTGTGAGGTGATCCCATTGTGGTTTTGATTTGCATTTTCCTGAGATAACTTATTAAACCTTGCTGGCCCTCAGTTTTTTCACATGATGGATAGTAAGCTTCCTATAATGTTTAGATGTTGTTACAAAGCTGTAGAAAGAGTAAGATAGAAACTTGCCTTCTTGGAATACACAATCTAGTAAAAGAGATAAAATTGCACTGATGGGTATTTCAGTCAGTTACTGCTGCGTATTTTGCTCACATATATGTTGAATTGGGTGGGGTTTGGCTAATCTAGATTAGGCTAGGCTTGGTTCTATGCTATAGTTTGGATGCAGATACTCTCATGTGCCTCTTGTCTTCCTTGGACCAACATCTGTCCTCAGGACATTCTCCTGGCAAAGAGCAGAAATGCAAAAGGCCAGGCCCAACTATGCAAGTGCACTTCAAGCCTCTTGTTATCATACATTCTCTAACAATCCTATTGGCCAAAGCAAGTCACCTATTCAAGCCCAAAGTGGAGTTCTCCTGGCTATGCCAAAAGTGTGGTTATATAACATTAATTACCAAAGGGAGATAAAACATTTGCAGCCGGCAATTCAACTTACATCCTGTTTATTTAATAACAAGTAGAAATTCAGGGGTATTGTAAGAGAGACATACATAGAAATGTCAAAATAGTTCAAAAGTAGAAGAATTCAATTCTAACTGTTATAGAGTTCCAGGGAAATATTGTGGAAAAGGGAGGGATTAAATCTTGCAAGATGGATTAAGAACTAGATTCTTAGCCATTGAAAAGGAAAATAAAAATCCAGGCTGAGAGACTAGTATCAGCAAAGGCATGAAACCAGGGGTATGTTCAGGAATAACGAGAAGTTTAACTTGATGAGGTTCATAGAAGAAAGTTACGGTTATCAGGAAAGGTTGGGACCAGGAAAGGCTCTAATCAGTGCTTACTGACTGAATAAGGCCTGTGGCTTGGAAAGACCAGAAGGTTCTTTTTAGATATTCAGGAGCAAGTGGTCATCAATAACTTTTTCTAGTGAGGGAAAACTTGATTGATGGTCCATACAGGCAAAATACAATGTAAGATGGCAGCCCCTTAAGAAGAGAGTAATGTTATGTATAGCCCTCAGCCTGGCTGGCAGCAACATTAACCATCTGGGCATGAGCACTGAGGGGTTCAGCCTAAAGAGGCCTCAGAAAGAAAGAATGATGAAGAAACCCATTTATTTTGCTTGCCCAGGAGAGGCTGGTTTTGGGTTTTCTTCTCAGTTTAGAAGGAGACATAGTCATAGACGTTCATTGACTTAAAAGGTAGAAGAAAGAAAATGAGATTTAGAGTCAGATCATGAGGTTAAGTCTCAATTCCATCATTAACTGGCGGGGTGACCTTGGACACATTATTTCACTTTTTTGGACCTCAGTACCCTCATTCACAAAATGGGGGCTAACAATACTTACAGCTATCATAATAAGCAAACATGACAATATGTAATATGGAGTAACAGAGATATTTGTGGGAGAGGACTGTGGGTTAGGGAAAGAGGATTGAGGAAATCGGTGTTTATAGCAGCTAAAGGATTGATAAAGTGAGCTCAGCAGGGAGGAGAAGAAAATTTGACCAAAGCTGGGCAGTTTGGGTAGTTTTGTTCATCACCCGCTCCAAATTTTTTCTTATGTGCTTTTCTGTATTTGACAGTTTGGCATCTAAAGACTGCTTCCTCAATTGAAGGTATAATTTTTGATGTAAGATTATCCCAGCCAGATACATGTGAGGCTTGGGTTCACAACCAATGTAAGTGGAAGGAGGCAGAGGAAATAAATCAAGTGTTTATTTTGCCAGGATCTGGACTTACTCTGGCTCTAGAGGTCAACATTCTGATGGCAGCATCCTGAACCCCAAACTTCCCTTAAGGAGAATCGTTCCTGGACCCATAAGTTTGGCATTGGGCCCCAGATGCCTAGATTATGGCTCACATGATGAGATCCTGGAAGCAGTACTTAGAACACTGGCTTTCTGTCTCCCTAACAGCCCCACTGTTGCAGAGTTTCTCTTGGCGAGTCAGTTCTGGGATGCTCTTCTAGAGACATTCCAAATCATTTCTTACCTAGAACTTATTTCTTCAGCCGTTCTAATGATTTCATAAGCTTCTGATTTCCTGTCTCACATACACCCCCACCCCCTGCCTTTAAAAAAAATTAAACTGCATTAGTTTTTTCGTCACCTACCTTTGAAACCTTACTGGCATATTGGAGTGGCCACATCTCTAAAGGAATCGAAGGCTCCCATTTGGCTCAATTCTCCTCTGACTTCTTCAGGCTCTACTTCCAATAGCTTCCTTTAGATCTTCTGCTATTACCAGATGGCTTTCCCAAAATTAGTGATGGCTAATTTTATTTGTCAATTTGACTGGGCCAAGAAATGCTTAGATGGTTGATAAAACATTATTTCTGTGAGGGAGTTTATGGATAGATTAACGTATGAATTGGTGGGCTGAGTAAAGATTACCCTCCGCAAGGTGGGTGGGCATGAAACAGTCCATTGAGGGCCTGAATAGATTTGTGTATGTGTGTGTGTGTGTGTGTGTGTGTGTATGCGTGTGATGGAGTCTCACTCTGTCGCCCAGGCTGGAGTGCAACGGCGTGATCTTTGCTCACTGCAACCTCCACCTCCCAGGTTCAAGTGATTCTCCTGCCTCAGCCACCCGAGTAGCTGGGATTACAGCCATC
The DNA here is from genome assembly GCF_000001405.40 of Homo sapiens. NCBI lineage: Eukaryota > Metazoa > Chordata > Mammalia > Primates > Hominidae > Homo > Homo sapiens. Next base: position 34,181,718 of record NC_000022.11, read on the forward strand.
TGCCACCATGCCCAGCTAATTTTTGTATTTTTAGTAGAGACAGGGTTTCACCATGTTGGCCAGCCTGGTCTCGAACTCTGAATAGATTTTTTAAAAGGTGGAGGAAGACTGAATTCTCACCTGCCTCACTGCTTGAGTTGGAACATCAATCTTCTCTTGCTCTCAGCACTCCTATTCTCAGGCCTCCAGCACTGGATTGAAATCTATGCCACTGGTTCTCCAGCTCTTAGGCCTTTGAACTACATCACTGGTGGGTCTCCTGCTTTCAGAGGGCAGATTGTGGAGCTTTTCAGCCTCTGTAATCACATGAACCAATACTTTAACATCCCCCTCTCTCTTCTTTCATCTGTTCTATTGGTTCTGTTTATCTGGAGAACCCTGATAAACTAATATACCCTGCCTCTTGCTACATACTGTGGTCAGATTTATCTTCTTAAAAGTAAATTACTAATCATATTTCTTGTGATTTCTAGTTTTAAAATAGTGAATATAGAGAGTATTTCTTCTTTGTCCTCTTGGAGATCACCCTCACAGCAACAAAGACCACCTGGAAAGAAAGGAGCTGTCCACTTCTGATGAAACCAAGGGACATCCATAACCCTAAACCACAATATATAGAGAATAGCTGCCACATGCAGTGAAGATCAAATAAGATGAGGAAGCACAGGGAAAAGATGCTCAGAGCTGCAGATATCAGGAGAATATTGCCAAACACATTTCTCTAAATACCCGGCACACCCAGAGGGCAAACCCAGCAAGCCCTTATATGGTGCAATGGAAATGGTAGTGTGGTTGATGTCAGGAGCTTTGGTGGCCCAGTTTGGCCTAAAGAGAAGACAGGACTGAATAAAAAAATTCACATAGACGAATCGTAAATTCAGAAGACAGTCTGCATGTAAGGCAAGGCAGACAAAACATAGCCATCCCCCATCCTTTTTTTTTTTTTTGACCGAGCAAGTTGAAGGATGAAATGACATTTACTGGGATGTGGAAAACTGGTGGAGATGGAAACCAGCTGGATGAGGTCAAAAGAGAATGAGAGGTGAAGAAGTGCCCCCATGAGTTTCACGGTCTCAAAAAGCAGAGCTGCCAAACTGGCCAGCAGCAGACCTTAGACACATGAGTGAGCCCAACTAAGTGCAGTAGAAGAACTAGTTAGCTGAGCCTAACCAAGATTGATGACCATGAGTTTTGCTACAAAGGGGAACAGAGTAATAGGGTAGTGGCTGCAGGAAGATGTGACTGAGGAGCATAAGCAGGTTAGTGTGCTGACAGTAATTATCTATAGGAGAGATTTTGATAATGTAGGAATTAGGGAAGACAAATATGAAAACTATTTTCTTTTTTTAAATTTCTATTTTTTAACATGGAGTTTCACTCTTGTTGCCCAAACTGGAGTGCAATGGTGATATTAAGGTTCACTGCAACCTCTGCCTCCCAGGTTCAAGTGATTCTCCTGTTTCAGCCTCCCGAGTAGCTGGGACTACAGGCACGCTACCACGCCCAGTTAATTTTTGTATTTTTAATAGAGACGGGGTTTCACCATGTTGGTTAGGCTGTTCTTGAACTCCTGACCTCAAGTGATCTGCCCGCCTTGGCCTTCCAAAGTGTTGGGATTACAGGCATGCGCCATGGTGCCGTGGAGGTGAGACAAGATGGGATCCCTTGTACAGGAGAAGGATTTGGCTTTTGATGGGAACATGTGCAGTTCATCTTTGGCAACAGAAGGAAACACAGTATATGAGAATGAACCTGATAGTTTCATGTATGTGGTGAAAGGAGTATGTTGGAGTTCTCATTGCTTTTATTTTTTCAAATAAAGAAAGCATCATTATAAACTGAGAGTAAGGTAATGAAAGAGTTGTGGGAGATTTGCAGAGAAATAAGAAGAGGCAAAATTATTGTCTAGGAGGGCAGGAGAATGAAAGAGCTAATGAAATTATGATTACTGAGTGCTTTTAAAGGGCTGATGTGAATTTAGGGGTGATAAGCTTAAGGTGAACCCAGGCAGCATGTGTGTGTGTGTGTGTGTGTGTGCGTGTGTGTGTGTGTGTGAAGTGGGAGTCAAATGGTGGTTGAATCAGTACATTGAAAGTCCTCATTAAATTAAGTAATTAGTGATGTTGAGATAATAGAATGAATGAGCAGGAAAGCTCAAAGAAAGTAAGACTAAAGATGCCTGAAACTGGGTTCAAGAACGTGGGGTGGGTGCAATTAATATTGATGATAAGATCTACCTGTGATTATAAGAATGAGCAACTAAGTTAAGTGGAGAATTAAACTACTGAAATAGAATAGACAGAGAACCTTGGAGACCATGGTACTGGGAAGATCACACATAAGAATATTGAAATTATGGCTGGGTGTGGTGGCTTGCGCCTGTAATCCCAGCACTTTGGGAGGCTGAGGTGGGTGGATTGCCTGAGGTCAGGAGTTTGAGACCAGCCTAGCCAACATAGTGAAACCCCATCTCTACTAAAAGTACAAAAATTAGCTGGTTGTATTGGCACACGCCTGTAATCCCAGCTACTCTGGAGGCTGAGACAAGAGAATCACTTGAACCCAGGAGGCAGAGGTTGCAGTGAGTCAAGATCATGCCATTGTACTCCAGCCTGGGCGAGAAAGTGAGACTCCGTCTTAAAAAAAAAAAAAAAAAGAATATTGAAATCACTCAGAATACTACTGCAGGGAGTTGCAATGGTCTTGAGGCTAAAATCCTTGAGGGATGAAGGGGATTGGCCTAGGTTTGTATAGATGACTACAAAAAGGAGAGGTAGTGAGTGATACAATCTGAGAGTATAATCTTCAAATCCAAGTTTTTTTTTTAAGGGGGAAGGGGTGTAAATTGTCTAAAAAAAGCAACAATAAACAAAAGGGACAAACATCATACCTTCATGTTCAATGATATAGAGGAATATGGTGAAGATCAGCCACTTTTGGAAAGCTTTGTAGGAGATAAACTGTCCTTAGATGTAGCCAGGTTTCACTTAGAGGAGGAAGATGAAGGGATAATTCAGAGATGTTGAGAATATAAGAGATTTTGCTGATAATGGACTATGAGTTCCAGAGGACATTTTCCAGAAAAGAAGATAGGTGAGTGGTTAAAGAACATATTTTGCCATGTGGAATTGAGAGCCCAAATGATAAGCGATGATATGCAGAGAATCTTAGAATTCTGGTGGTATCTAACATAAATAGGAATATAGGGATGATGTGGATTTCCAAGGAAGTTTGTGGTGGTGAGGTTGGAAATGTTTTCTTTGCATGTAAGTGAGTGTGTGTTGAGGGGGCGGTGGTTGAACCGTTGATCTTTTCAAGATCAAGCAAAGTTCGATGGCTTTATAATTCTATCATAAAAGTAGTAAACTTTAAAAGACATTTTATTACTAGGTTTTAAAAAACACCCCAATGAAACAATTGCCTTCATAAAATCAGAGTGTAAAATGGCTGTACAATAGTTCATAGAAAATAAGGTAAAATAAAACAAAAGTTTAAATATGTACTGGCAGAACTCAGGAAAGGAATAAAACTAAAACCCTCACAAAAATGAGGTTTCCTATTGGAAGAGACACATAAATAAAGACAATGCTTGGCTAAAAACATAATAAGTGACCGCGAGGAGAGGATTAAGAAAAGTGATTTAAGTAAAATGTACAAGGACAGAGCATTAAAATGGATTAGAAAAAAAATGATGGCAATGGAAGATGAATAAAGAAGATACAACATACATGTAGTGGACATTTCTATTTTGTTTTTGAAGTTTGTTTTAACATGGTGATAAAATATATCCTTAAAATAAAACAGAAAAATAATTATATATAAACACACACACACACATATATATATGCATATTTATATATGAAGTGACAGACATACCCTGGAGACATTGGCCTACAATGATAAACCTTGAGACATGTATTGGTTAGGTTTACTAGACTTCAAAGGTAAGGATCAATACTTTAGGCAACCAAGGAAAGTATCAAGTCACTTAAAGTTCTCAGTCTTCTCCATGGCAATTCAGATCTGGAGAGCAAGGAAGCAATGCTTATAAAATCTGTAAGAAAAAAATGATACTTTTTTAAAAACACAGCAGAACTGTTGCTTGTGTATAAGGGCAGAAGACTGATATTCTTGAGCATGCAATAGCTTAGAGAATGTATTTCCTGAGAAGCCACTAGAGGATGAACTTCAGAATGAAAGCTGGAAGTATGGAAATAAGACTTACGGTGAGTGTGAAATTCCATGTAACAGTGGGACCAAGACTAAAGTAAATTTGAAGATTATGATTGCAGAACAAAACCTTATAAGCTCTCCCAGTGTAGAAATGATTTTATTAAGAAAAGCTGAAAGGAGAAGGGGGAAAAGAATGGTAAAAGATGTCGCTATGTACACTGCCTTTCTAATCCTTCATAGCCAGAGGTTAAAAGATACCATGTCACAGATGTAATATTTAAACATATAATAATCCACTAAAATATGGTGGTAAGGAAAAAGAAGGGAATATGGTGGGGAGTTGCCAGGCATGGACTAGAGAATAGAAGAATAAGTATTGAAGGAATAATAGTTATAAAGACAACCACTAGAATAATAACAACCAAAAAATCAAACCTTTGAAAATATCAGCAGAAAAACATGTCCACTCAATTAAAGAAAGAAAAGGAACTCAGACTTTTGAATGACAGATTTAAGAAGCTTAAGTGATAAAAGCAAAGAATCATATTAAATATGGTTGTTTGGAGATGGGAAATGCTTTTCCCATTCTTAATGTTTTCTTCCATGTGGAAGCAGCTCAGTCAGTTTTACCACATTTGGCCTCTCTCTGCCTCTTTAGGTACTTTGCCCTAGGAAAGGTGAAGTGATTTCTCTATTTGGTAAATAGGAAAAGTGAAGTTATCATGCTCAGCTCAGCTCTTTCTGTTTCTCCTTGAACATGAACTGCCCTTAGGGTAAATGAGTTCTAAGCAGCTGCTTGGGGCAGTGAGTCTTAAGTCTGCATAGGGCTTGAAACCTCTCCCCTGCTGGGATAGGTGTCTGAGAGGGTACATCGCTTAAATTCTGGATTTCAGAATTAGAGGGCTCACCTGTCTAGGATTAGAACTCTTAGAGGTCTCATCTGTCTGTGAATGGAACTCTTGTCTTCCAACCTAGTCTTTATTAATAATGAACATTATATTTTGGCCTGATATTCTTCTTCTTGTCTCTCAACTTATTTAGTACACAGGTGTGGAAAGATATTATGTCTTGGACCCAATCATAAGATCCTAATAACATTGATGCGTTGAGGTTTTTGAGGGGCCAATTCAATGAGTGGTTATTTCTACTGTCTTAGGACAGAGTCTGGCACATTGTAGGCACTTCATAAATTGTGGTTGAATTACTAAGTGACAGAATTTTAGAATTTTAGAGGAAAATGGCAGCTAGTTGGTCTCTGATGTGGCTTGAAGGTGAAAGGATGGAAATGCAGGAACTATAAAGTAGCCATTTTCCATCTTGCACACAGAGCAAAGAGACATGCTTTTTTTCAGAGACAAAAGAATGAACCAGATGCTGCAGAGTTCAGCCGGGATGAGAGTTGTTGGGGTCACAGGGGAGATCGAGTTGTGGTTATCTTATTTCTTGTGGGCTTTTCCAATTTCCGGTTCCAGACCCTCAGGGGACTCTTCTGGGCTCTGCTCCCTTGGCTTCTGTGAGATGTCCTTGTATACTCCTAATAAACCCCTTCCCTTCCCCCTTTACATTTTTCCTTTAAGCTAATTTAAAGTGGATTGTTTCACATGCAGTTGAAAGACTCTTAACTAAAACCTGAGATGCTGAAGTCCAGAGCAGCTGGAGAATGCTTTCTAAGTTTACACACTTTTGAGAATTTTGAGTCGGGGCAAATAGCCAGAATGCTCTGTAGGCAGAGCAAGGGCACTTTCATGGCAAATAAATAACCACTGGGTTTTCCTCAGCTGACTGTAGTTGGTGAGTCTGAAGTCAAACTCTCACAGGACCATTAAACTTGGAGAGAAGCTGTAGAATCTAGGAATTTTTTTTTTTTTTTTTTTTTTTTTTTTGAGATGGAGTTTGGCTCTGGCGCGATCTCGACTCACTGCAAGCTCCGCCTCCCGGGTTCACGCCATTCTCCTGCCTCAGCCTCCCGTGTAGCTGGGACTACAGGCGCGCGCCACCATGCCCGGCTAATTTTTTTGTATTTTTAGTAGAGACGGGGTTTCACCGTGTTAGCCAGGATGGTCTCGATCTCCTGACATCGTGATCCGCCCGTCTCGGCCTCCCAAAGTGCTGGGATTACAGGCGTGAGCCACCGCGCCCGGCCCGGAATATTTTTTAAGATGCAAATGCTAATATGAAACAGTTAAAACCCCAACTTCCCACCTCATGAATCATCAGCAAAGTGTAGAGCTCCTGAATGCTAACCAGTTGGATACTACATCAATTCTACTCTGTAATTCTCTAAATTCTACCAGTGTCACAGATGGAGTCCAAAAACAAAATAACGGCCTGCTCCATTCTGATTCAAGTTCTCATTTGCCTGTGCCCTGCTTTCCCAAGAGCCTAGTGACTGATTGCAGACCCTTGATTTCTGTGAGCTTAGACTAATAGGTATTGCAGGCATACATTCTGGGCTGAAGATAACCAGAAAGCCAGCAACCTGATGGGAGGAACATTCATTGCACAAGCTGAGAGTGAAATGAGCTTCTACATCAGGTGGGTAAATAATTCCAGTTAATAATTCAATCCAAACTTTTGTTGAATAAAGTGAGGTTGTCACCCCAGCACCCACACCAATGTCTGGCACCCAGCAGAGGTGCAACAGATATTTGTTGAACATTGAATGAAGTCCGTTGAATCTTTGTAATTTTTCTCATATTTTCTGTTTCTCTCTGTTACCACAGTAACATCTTCATTTACTTAAGCATTTATGTGGCTGATGCCTAGTTTTCCAACTAGAGAAGTTGCTAGGTTGAGGGACAGTGTCTATTCCATTCCTGTTGCAGTAACAAAATACTGGAGACTGGATAGTTTATGAATGATAGAAACTCATTTCTCTCAGTACTGGTGGCTGGGAAATCTAAGGTCAAGGTGCCATCAGGTTTGGTGCCTGGAGAGAGGCTGTTCTCTGCTCCCAAGGTAACTCCTGTGGCTGTGTCCTCTGAAGAGGATGAACATCATGTCCTTCCATGGCAGAAGAGCAGGAGGGCAAAAGGGGTCTAGCTAGCTGTCTCCAGCCTTTTCATAAGGTGACTAATCAATCCATGACTGTGATGTGCTCATGACCTATTCACTTCTTAAAAGCCTCACCTCTTAATACTTTCATACTGGGAATTAAGTTTCAACATAGGCCAGGTGCGGTGGCTCACACTTGTAATCCCAGCACTTTGGGAGGCAGAGGAGGGTGGATCACAAGGTCAAGAGACTGAGACCATCTGGCCAACATAGTGAAACCCTGTCTTTACTAAAAATACAAAAATTAGCTGGGTGTGGTGGTGCGTGCCTGTAATCCCAGCTACTCGGGAAGCTGAGGTAGGAGAATCGCTTGAACCCAGGAGGCGGAGGTTGCAATGAGCTGAGATGGCATCATTGCACTCAGTCCTGGGCAACAAGAGCGAAACTCCATCTCAAAAAAAAAAAAAGTTTCAACATAAATGTTTGAGGGGCCATAAGCCCTCAAACCACAGCAAACCACGTTTACATTTTCTCATTATTTTTTTCCCAAGTGCCTAGCACAGTGTTTGCATATTGCCTGATCTTGATAAATATTTGCTGGATGAATACATGCTGTCTTGATTTACAAAGTGTATGCTTGGCAACTACCGGGCTCAGAAGGCTGAGTGTTTAATTTGGATGGAGGTTCATGTCCCTGCCTATGGCCATTTGACAGATCTCTTGGCAAGGATATGAGTTTTCTCTCTTTTCTCCTGCCTAGATGCTAAGGGATTGGCACCCTGGTACTTGGCCTGTTCCTTCTTTTCTGCTTGGAATGGAGGGGCCAATCTTTAGCAAATCAGGATCTGCCAAAAGTAAAAGTAGCAATCCTAGCTGTCTGTCCCATCAACAAGAGGAGATTTATTATGTAGGACCAAAGGGATATGTGTGACAGCAGGAACACTGCACAAGTCATCTGCAGGCAATACCATCTGGGGTGCTGTCTCACCTCTGTGGACCTTCTCGTTTGCTGTCACTTTTGTATGACCAACTGGGTCTGCTCTTAAGACTCTGCAGTAAAGCTGGAGAAGAGGATGAAAGGTTGGGATTCTGCTGCTCAAGAAACCCACAGCACCCAGACCTTGCAATGGGCCCCGTTTCTTTGGAGGCTCAGGAGAAACATTTTGGCTAGAGTAGGATAGGGTTTCCTGCCTTTTTCTCCCCTTTTTTTCTTGCTTTTATTCTTCACACCTGATCAAAAGGGGACCTCTTAGCATAATAAGACATTGCATTTATGCTTTATAGGGTGGTCAGCATCAGTAAGAGAGAGGGTTTGTGTCTTGTTGGGGCTCTCCTCTGCATCTTCATGGACTTGATGATACAGATTGGAGGGAGACAGCTGAGATGGACCTTTCTGGCCTGAACACAAAGGACTACATCAGACTACTCTTAACTAAGAGTGGAATGGGCATCATTGGGGAAAGTAGTGGAAAAACTAGGAGGGAAACTAAGGGATTATGGATTTTAGGAGATCATGAAGGCAAGAATTGGCACTGATTGGAAGGTGATTTACATTCACCAGAACTTCATTTGCAAGTAGCAAAAACTTAGTTTCAAATAGCTTAGGAGAGAAAAATATAAGATGGATGAGGGATTTACTGACACAGATTACTGAGAAGCCTCAGAGGTAAAGGAAGCATTTAGGCATGGCTGGATGCAGGGGCTTAGGAAATATGACCAGGAATTAGTCTTTATCTCTTGACTCTGCTTCCCTCTACAAAGGCTTCATTCTCAGGGAGGTTTTGTTCCTTCCTTGTGTGGACAACAAGGTTCTGGCAGTTTGAGACTGACACCATAGAGTTTCCAGATTTAGCAAATAAAAGTAAAGGAGGCTCTGTTGAGTTGAATTTCAGATAAACAACAAATACCTTTTTTCAGAAGAAGGAGGTCCCAAGTAGTATTTGCACTGTCCTAAATATCGCATGGGATCTTTATTTATGCTAAAAGAGTATTGGACATTCTGTATTTTATCTGGCAACACTATGACATCATCCTCACAGCAATGACTTCAGAGGAGACATCATGGTTCCCTCTCTCACAGGGTCTGTCCTCACAATGGTTCTGATAAGTCAGCTTAGGTCACGTATTCATCCCTGTGGTTGGTGAGGTGGGACCATGTAATGAAAGACCCCAGTGGGAGAGACAGTTCAGGCAGTTAGTAAATCTTTGTAAAACAGTGCTTTGTTCCAGGCCCCCCTTCTACGTGCTGGAGATTCATCTGTGAACAAGACAGAGAGGTGCACGGCTATAAGAAGCTTTTATTCTAGTTGGGGAAGGGTTGGGCAGGCAATGAGCACATACACTTATAAATAAATAGGATAATGTCACATACTGAGAAGCAGTATGGAGACGATAGAATAGGGTATTGTAGGAAATGTCTGTGGCTGTGTGTGGGTTGAGTTGTTCCCCACCTCCCCCAAAAAGGATGTGTCAAAGTTCTAATGCCCAATGCATATGAATGTGGATTTACTTGGAAATAAGGTCTTTGCAGATGTAATGAAGTTAAGATGAGGCCATATGGTGTTAAGGTGTGCCCTAATCCGATGAATGGTGTTCTTATGAAGGATATTTAACACAGACACAGAGAGGACGGTGCCACTGGAAGTCATGCAGCCGCAAGTCAAGAAATGTCATGAGTGGCTCCTCTCCAGAAACTAGGAGAGGAGCATGGGGCAGGTTTTCTCCTAGTGCCTTCAGAGACACATGGCCCTGCCGACACCTTGAGTTTGGATTTTTGGCCTCCAGAACTGTAAGTGAAAAAACTTATGTTTTTGTTTTGTTTTGTTTTGTTTTGTTTTTGTGATGGAGTCTCGTTCTGTTGTCCAGGCTGGAATGCAGTGGTGTGATCTTGGCTCACTTCAATCTCTGCCTCCTGGGTTCAAGCAATTCTCCTGCCTCAGCCTCCTGAGCAGCTGGGACTATAGGCACACACCACCATACCCGGCTAATTTTTTTGTATTTTAGTTGAGATGAGGTTTCATCACGTTGGCCAGGATGGTCTCAATCTCCTGACCTCATGATCCGCCCGCCTGGGCCTCCCAAAGTGCTGGGATTACAGGCGTGAGCCACCACAACCAGCCAACTTATGTTGTGGTGGTTTAAGTCACCAACTTTGCAGTCATTTGTTTCAGCAGCCCCAGGAAACTTGTACAGTCACAGAAGTGTGGGCTGGGTGGTCAGGGAAGAACTCTCTGAGTAAGTAACATTTGGGTTGAGGCCTAAAGGATGAGGAGGGTGCAGCTCTGGGAACAGCTAGCGAAAAAATACTTAAAAGAGAAGGAAGAGTAAGTGCAGAGCCCTGGGAGTGGACATGGCAGCACTGGGGCCAGTGTGGCAGGAGTGTAGAAGAGAAACCGCAGAGAGGGGAGTGCCCTCGGCAGGGCAGGCAGACCTTTAGTTGAGACTCCTGGGTAAAAAAAGTTGGTTTGCATTCTATTCTGCTATTTCCTCATTGCATGATCTTGTTTCTTAACTTCTTGGAATATAGATTCGAGTTTCTTCAAATATAAAATGTCTGTCCATGGAAATGCTCCTGAATCTATCAAGTGCTAGCTCCTAGGTCATTCTGGTTTATTATTTCTGTGACCTTGGATTTCCTATGAAATTTGAAATTTCCCATCCTAAACCCACTTGGATTTTTACTGCCTTTCATCATTTGCAATCTGTTTTAGCCATACCTTCTAAAATGCTTTGGTATTTAGAAAGTCCATGTTCTCTTGACTTCTAACAATGTCTTTGTCCATTCCTGGTTCTGCTTTTACTGTCCCCTGCAGGGTGCTTGATGGCTCGTGGCTGTGAGTCTGGCTCCATTAATGCGATGACAGTAGTAATTTAGGTGAGTTAGCTTTGGCACTGAGACATCCATAGTTCTTTTGGGACTAAATAGCTTGCAATTGCACAAAAGCTAGGGTTGGGGGATTCAATGTGTGGTGTGACATGTTGCTGACTTGGATACACAAAGTTGATCCCCTGACCTTGTCCTCATAAGCAATACAATGCAGCCAACTGGCCCAGAGTCATGAAACAAACCCTTCTCTCATATTGAATAAGAATGGCTTTTTCTTAAGCCAGTGGTTCTCGAACTTGCACAAGCATCAGAATCACTTGGAAGGCTGGTTGTAGCACACGCTGCTGTTGTTCACCCTCAGATAATCCGATTCAGTAGGTCTGGGATGGGGCCTGAGAATACGCATCTCTAACAAGTCCCAGGCGATGCTGATGTTGCTGGTCTGGGGACCACACTTTGAGAACCATTGTCCCAAACTATCACAGAAAGAAGACGAATATCAGAAATCTCATCACACCAATGGGGGTTGAAAGTAGGTTGGGAGTAAAAGCCTCCTGGAAGATGCTTCCTTCTTTGTCAGGAAGCAAGAACTGATTGTGAAATGTATGTACCTAAGCCCTCAAGAAGCTTATAATTTAGAAGACAGAATAAAGAGAAGAATTAAGAAAGACTCCATGGACAAGACATGTTTGGACCAGAGATACAGGTGAGAAACGACGGGGAAAGATGTTTCCAGTGCTGGGATCAGTGTGGGTGAAGATGTAGAGGCAAAGAAGCATGAGAGATCATTGGCAGTTCCTTGGTTTTAGCCAGAACAACAGGTTTCACATGTTTTTGCCCACAAGCCACAGTAAGACAAACACTTGACCTTGTGTACTCAGCACAATACACATTTTCTACTGTAGTCTTGTGTGTATACATTTATATTTATCTCCAACAGACCTTCATGGAACATTTACCATTGTATATACAGAATGCCCTAAATTTTCTATTCTGTTCCATATGGTTTTACAAAATCTAGAATATAGTTTTATTCCATATAGTACATCATGGGGAGTATAGCAGAGTGTGGCTTCTGATACAAGGCTCTCTGGGTTCAAGCCAGAATTAATCACTTTGGACAACTTATTTAACCTCCCTGGGTCTGTGTCCTTATCTGTAAAACAGGGATAGCAAGAGTGCTTATTTCCCTAGGGACAGTGTGAGAAGTATGTGAGTCTATGCAAAGTATTTGGAATGGAGCCTGCTATATAGAAAGCCATATACATATTTGTTCTTTTGCTATAAATTTCATTTTAAAATGCTTTCGTCACATACTTCATTGATTTCATGACCTTCTCAATGAGCTGCTGCCTGCAGCTTGAAGGACTAGAACTGAGGTTGAGGTAGGTGGGAGTGGAACAGATGGGTGATGGAGGTGGGGCATGTGATGATTTGGGATCCACAATACAGAGGCTCTTTAATGCTGGAGTGAGGACCCTGGACTTTGATCACTGGGTAGCTGGGGGCCATGAAAGATTTTGTTTGGGCACAGTGGTGTGATCAAAGCTGCACTGAGGAACATTAATCTGGCTGCCGTGTGAAAGCTGCAGAGAAGTGAAGACACCCTGGTTAGCAGAGAAGAGACAGACTGAGGTCCAGGCGAGAGGTGATGTGGACCCACCCGAGGGGAGAGCAGTGGGAATGCAGAGAGAAAAGGATCATGAAAGGAGCTCTAGAGGCCACACCGAGAGCATCCACCACCAAAGAAAAAATGGCTCCATGGGCTGGCAAGCCAGTCGGAGCTCTGTGGTCTCCCTCTCTACTTGAGGACAGCATTTGAAGAACTGCATCTCCCTGTCACCCTAACTGAGAGAAACTTGAGTGGGACATTAACTTCCCCTGAAGATGCAAATGGAATGGGAAGTCCAACACTGAAATGCCTTCTTTGTAGCCCTGCCAGAGGCCTAATCTGGGTCCACTCCTCAGCAGGTGCTTAGAACTGGCAGCAGTTATGCCAATGGGTGAACAGATGAGTTATTCAAGTGAGGGAACATTTCCCAGGGGAGCAACTGGAGTCTCTCTGGATGCTGAAGAATAATCCTCAGAAGTTAAAGCAGCATCTGTAACCAAATCTTCACAAAAGATCTGCAGCCCGAATTCAAGTTGCTAATGAGATCCTTGTTTATGATGTTAGATTCTTTCAGAGGCTTAGTGGGGGGTAAAGGAACTTGAGTGAGTGGGGAGGAGAGACCGACTCCTAAGAAAGTGGGTAATTAATCTTCTCCAAGGCTTAATCACATCCTGTGGTGCTGTGAGTTGGTCTTTTCAGGAGCCTCTGATATGGCAGGGTAGAGCAAACCCTGTTGTAGGTGGAGCAGACAAAATGCAGCTGTGCTCTGTGTATTCTGCAGTGGTTTTCTCAGATGCCTCTGGAACATTTATGGCTACAGCATGGTCAAGAGGGTGTGGTGCTGGCCTCTCAGAGCATCCTGTCCTGCGGCACTCTATCCAATGAATGAAGGCAACTCCCACGTCTCCTCCTTGAGGGTTTCTTATTCAGTCTCTTGTTGACACAGGCTTGTTCTTTACCCTGGATAGCCATAAAAAGAGCAAAGATTGAATGCTTATTATGAATCTGGTTCTGTTTGAATTTATTTACCATATTACTTCATTTATGGTAATCCTGTGTACTATATTGTCCTGTTCCATTTGAAGGAGAAGGAAACTGAGGCACACGTGATTTATGGAGTGTTTCTGAGGTCCCAGAGCACTTACTTGGTGGATCTGGGATTCAGACCCAGTCTATCTGACTCTAGAACCCACAATTTCACCTCCCTGGAGCTATCTTAGTCAGGATGTAGGAACTCATGTTACTCTCTTCTCCAGGTGGATTTTGACATCTCACTCTTCCTGTTCAGGTCTTCTCTGGCTTCCAAGTTCCTCTCCTACTTGGTCACTTTATTGCACAGGTAAAAGGCTGGAGATGACAGCCTCACCCCAGCACATAATTCCTGGTCCAATCCAATGGAGCCTCATCTTCCTCTTTTGAGAATCGGGACACAGAGAATGTCTTCCAACTTGGCTGCACCCTAGGAGGTTGGAGGCAAATCCTTCCATGATTAGTCCTAGGGAACTAAGGTTGGGCAAGATTAGAAATTTTTCATGGATAATATTTTAGAATTGAAGGGACAGGTGGAATTTCTATGGGTATAATCCAGACAATAGACACAGAGTGCTCCAAGTGACTTCTAAGAAGCCCCTCCAAACCTAGAAAATTATATTCATTCATTCATTTATTCACACATTTATTTAGCATTTACCATGCACTGGCAACACTGTGGTAGGCACTATGGAATTGATGAATGAGGTATCATTCCTGCCTCATGGTGACTACAGTCTAAAGGGGAGACAGACACTATAAAAAAAGAATAAATATAAAATCAAAAATTGTCAAATGCAACAAAGCATCACTTCCCATTATGAATAAGGGTGCCTCATTTTTGTGGCCTAGTTAAGAAAGGAAGGGGTTCATATCAGGATATTTTCCATTATATTCACTACTGTTTTTGTCATCCATTTGGATAAAAATATTTCCAAAATGTTCACTTGGTGTGTAAGAGGATAACGTTCCAGAAGGAGCCCCATCCATTCATGATCCCAGACTCAAGCCACATGTGGTCAGTTACCTAGTGATTAAAGGTGAAATGAGGGCCTTCCAGAGGGCCCAACTCTCTAGTCCCTCTGGGACACAATGTGTGCTGTAGACAAATGCTGAGAAAGTAAAGATGGACAGTCAGAATAAAAAGTATTTTGTACCTCTGTGTGCCAACGTGTCTTCTGGGCACTTTGATGTTTACTATATGTCTCAGATTTTCTCTTTAAAGCTCTGTGACCCAAGCATATTTTCCCCATTGAGGGGTTTGGAATTTAAAGACATGAATGAATTTCCCAAAGTTTTCAAGCTGGCAAAGGGTAAAGCCAGGATAGAAAAATCTAGATCTTTCTGACTGGAAACTCAAATATTTATATTATAAATTTCTCTTCTCAGCTGAGAAGAAAATATGGAAGAAGAACATGGAACTAAATCACTTACAGTTTTGAGTATGCAGAACACCATCCAGGTCAAGGTTGTTTCATGCCATGAATGTTAGGAGTTGTCACCTATGTTCTATTATCTGCTTGACAGTGTCTGTCCTGTTGTATAATTCCATCACATCATGTTGTATCGCAGTGTATTACATTGCAGCTCGTTCTATTCCCTTTCATTTTTTTTTAGACGGAGTTTTGCTCTTGTCACCCAGGCTGGAGTGCAATGGCGTGATCTCAGCTCACTGCAACCTCTGCCTCTCGGGTTCAAGCAGTTCTCCTGCCTCAGCCTCCTGAGTAGCTGGGATTACAGGCACCCACCATCACACCCAGCTAATTTTTGTGTGTTTTTTAGTAAAGATGGGGTTTCACCATGTTGGCCAGGGTGGTCTTGAACTTCTGACCTCAGGTGATCCACCCGCCTCGGCCTCCCAAAGTGCTGGGATTACAGGCATGAGCCACTACACCCATCTGAACAAGTTTCACAAGTCATTCAACAAGTCTCTGTGTGCCAGTTTCCTCAGATGTTGTCCTAGTCTGCGCACCACACTGGCCTCTTATCAGAGGCAGGGTTTCTGTGGTCTATCCATTTTGTTTAGGCTGAAGACAGGATCATTCAGGCTCTGTCGGGCCATTTTGCTATAGCTCAAGTGTTAGACATCACAGCCAGCTCACTGGCAAGTTCCATTGTTTCAGTTACAAAAGCAGCTTGTTACCATCCTTAGCAACCCATCCGCACGGACAAGTTGAAATAAGTGCTTTTAACATTCATACTCTTAAGACTGATGTCCGTTTATTAGAGAATCATATGTAGCTCATTCCTCCTCTTCTCCAATCCTTGGTTCTGGGGTATGATAGTCTCATGGGCTAGAGGGTGTCTCTCCAGGAGCAGGTGTGACTGGAGGCTCATGTGACTATAGTGAGTGCTCTCAGACAGTGGTTTTTGTGAGGGGAAAAGAACAGAGTCAAGTCAAGCAAACAAGCAGAATGTACACCTCATCAGTGCTGCATGTGACCACATTCAACCACCTGTCTTCTTCCTGCGTCTTTAATCAGAAAGAGAAGGCGACTTGCTTTTTACCTCCCATCCATCCCAAATTTGCCCTCACAGAAATGAGGGCTTGTTTGTTTTGTTTTCCCTTCTTTTTAAACTTAAAAAGAAATACTTTAAAACTTACATAAAATTGCAAGAAAATAGTATAAATAATTCTTCTACCATTTGTATTCACAGTTCCCCAATTATGAATATTCTTTATCATTCTATATCTATATATCTATATCTGTATCTATATCTGTATCTATATCTATATCTATATCTATATCTATATCTATATCTATGTATCTGTACCCGTTAGCTTTGTCTCTTTGTCTCTTTACCCATTAGCTTTGCCATTCCATATCCGTTACTCTGTAAGTATGTATCTATCTATCTATGTATTTATTTCTGAATTATTTGAGATCAAGTTACAGGCGTGAGGTCTCTTTACCCCAAATACTTAAGTATTTCCTTAAAAGAAAGACATTATCTTACATAATCGAGTACAATGACCAAAATCAGAAAGTTAACATTGATTTAATGATACTTATCTAACCTACAGATCTTATTCAAATTTCACCAATTATCCTAATAATGTACTTTATAGCCAAAGCAATTTCTGGTCTAGAATTCCACCTAGAATCATGTGGCACATTAAATTGTTGCTATCTTTTTAGTGTCTTTTAATCTGAAACAGTTATTCACAGTTTATCATTCATGAATTATTATTGAAGAGTATATATAGGCCAGTTGCTTATAATAGAGTACATTTCAATTTGAGTTTGCCTGATGACTAGATTCATGAGGTTATGATTTTTTTTCAGCAGGAATACCACAAAAATGATGCTGTGTCCTTCCCAGTTTGTCTGTTGGGCAGCATATGATCACCGGTTTATTCATTAGTGGAGGGAGACTTCTTTCTTAATGACTCAACTTCATTTTTTTTTCTTAGTACAACAAGCACCAATAGCACAAAGGCACACACTTAGTTTAGCCATTGCTAGAAATTCCAAGACCACTTTGACTTTCTTAAAACACTACTTTCAGTTCAGAACATGAACATAAAACATAGCTTGAAGCTTTCTGTTTTCTTTATCTTCTGATGTGAGACAGTCACAACCAAACTTTTAAGAGATTTGCTCCTCTTGCTATTCTAGCCCAATGAAGAGATGGCAGGAATCAGATGAGATAGCAAATGAGAAAGTGGCTTGCAAACTGTGATGTGTAATGGAAATCCAAGGGGCTCTGATTGTGATGAAGATTATATTCTTCGATTTCACAGGGTAAAGGGGTTTCAGGGAGAATGATAACTGATTGTGTGTTTCAACTTGATTGCATCATGGGATGCTCAGGTATCTGGTTACATGCTATTTATGAGTGTGTCCGTGAGGCTGTTTCCAGAAGAAATTAGCATTCAAATCGTTAGACTGAGTAAAGGGAATGGCTCTCCCCAGTGTGGGTGGGTATTATCCAATCCACTGAGGGCCTGAATAGAAAATAAAGAATGAAAAAGGATGAATAGAACCAAAAGGAGGATGAAAGGCAGGAGTCTCTCTCTTTCTCTTTCTGCCTGACTGCTTGGCTAGAACATTGATCTACCCTTGGTGCTCCTCCTGGTTCTCAGACCTTCGGACTTGGACTGGAATCTATACCTAAATCTGCAAGCTCTCCAGCTCTCAGACTTTACCTAAATCTGTCTCAGACCATACCTAAATCTCTCTCTCTCTTTCTCTCTGTCTCTCCCTCTCCCTCTCTTACAGGGCAGTTGTTTATAGAATATATCTCAATTTGAGTTTGATGT
Organism: Homo sapiens; assembly: GCF_000001405.40. NCBI lineage: Eukaryota > Metazoa > Chordata > Mammalia > Primates > Hominidae > Homo > Homo sapiens. Next base: position 34,199,616 of record NC_000022.11, read on the forward strand.
TTTTGAGAGACAGAATATCTATCTGTCTGTCTATCTATCCATCCATCCATCTATCATCTATTTATTATCTATCTATCTATCTATCTATCTATCTATCTATCTATCTATCTATCCTGCTTTTCTAGAGAACACAGACTAATGTAGGTGATAACTAGGATCCCTTCCCCACTAAGAATTGTTCAGGGCCCTGCACCCCAGAGGAAGAACCTATTTCCTTTCTTTCCCCTGGATCCACTGCTCACCTTTTCTTCTGCCTACAATCCTAGAAGTTCAAAATCTTCCAGGAAGAATTCTCCAAGTTTGTCCTTGCTTCATCTCCACCAACCTGAGTCAGCGAGTTTTTCAACCTTGCTATTTGTACCCATGTCCAGGTTGTTAATATATATACATGCACTGTGTGCTGCTGGTCCCTGAGTGCTGGAGGGCATGAAAATATTAACTTCTGTTCATGCAGAGAATTTGCTATTAACTCCAATGCTTCCTTTTTAAAAAAAATTTATTCACAGAAACCTGACAAGATCTTTACAGCTTTCTCCAGCTTATCAACCCGATTCAAATATCATAGAGGTTATTTTACCTTTCTTCACCCTATACTTGCAAGATTGTTTTAAATAGATTTTTCTCTGATTAAAAATAAATCACTCTCATGGTAGAATGTTTGGAAAGATCAGGAAAATCTAAAGAAGAAAATAATTCCTCAAATCTTAACTCCCTGAAGCCCTTATTCTCATCCTTTTTGGATTTATGATTCCAGTCTTTTTTCTTTTGGTACATTTTTTACAGATTTAGAATATTCAATATTCACAATATTGTTTGTATCTTTTCTTCTCAATTTACTAACTCTGTTCCCACTTCAAGGTACTGTTCATTCTCAACTCGCCTTTGAAATAACCTGCTGACCCCAAGCAGAACAGAAGATAAGCACTAGGCTTGTCCCACCTCAGACTGAACGGGAACTTGCTTGACTCATTGGTGGGTTTATATATGGGGCAATGGAAGGCAAAACACCAGAGAGTGGACACATTAGGATGAAATGTGTATGTTGTGTTAGAGTCTCTGCAACTTGACTTACTAGTTTCGTGATGCTGGAAAACGTTTTCTAAATATTCCACATCTCAGTTTCTTCTATTGTAAAATAGGGATAATTACATCAACCTCTGCAAGTGTGGTGTAGATTAAAAGACTCAATGCTCATAGCTTCCTCAGCCACATAGTACACACTCAGTTAATGGTGATTCAATAACTTTCTTTATCTGTATAAGACATCTGAGTTTTCCTACGATGGACCCATTCCCCTTCTCTTTATTACAGTGTCCAATATTTTAGGAAAGCACTCCCAGCCTACTCAGTCATTGTGTCATAGGTAGCTGATATAACCCCTAGCCCCAGGGAAAGGTACCTACTCCCAGCTCAGTCACTGATAACATGATCTCTCTTTTACCACGATTGGTTCAGGATGGGCCTGTAACCCAATCTGAAAATCAGTGAGATACAGTTATAGAACTTCTGTATGACTTCTGGAACAGAGAATTTCTCTTTCTATTTGCCTAGAAGCTTGGATCATGTAAGCATGGAGCTTCCAGGAGCTTCTGCACTCTGGCCCTGCTGCTTCTACCAGTGTGGTGAGGACATGGCTGATAATTAAGCAAATGCAATAAAGACCAGAGTTAAGGCATAGAAACTGATCCTGTCAACATTGTCTGACTAACTGGATCTAGCCTTACTTAAAACTAAATACAAATCTTTTCCTTTGAATGAACCACAAACAGCCACTCCTCGACCCCTTTTTAAATGCTGGCTTGAGTTGGGCTGTATTATTTGCAATCAAAAGAGATTTGATCAAGACACTTTTCTGGCTTCTACTTTTCAAAATTTGAAGGTTCTATGAATCCTTCCTCAGAGCACATTAATTTGTGTCAAGAATGGTCCATTCAGGTGCATTAGGGCCAAGCGGTTAATATTTACTGAGAGTACCTTCCAGCCTGGGGCTGGATGCAAATCTTCACCAAAATGGAGACAGACACACAGGGTGCTTGAAAAAGCACAATGTGAATTAACATCAGCCACCCTGTACGGCTTGATCTGAAGGCTGAGGTAGCAAAAGTTAATGAAGACCAACATGTAGTTTGACTTCTCTTACTATTTATTCCTAACTAGTATTGAAGGAATCTTTTTATTTTTTTAAATCACGTATTCTTTTTCAATTCTAAATCTTTCCCTTTCTCTCTCTTTTGCTTTAAGGAAACCCAGCTACTATGCACACCTCTTCTGTTTCACTCTTTTTATTATTGTGGTAAGGACATTTAACATGAAATCTAGCCTTTTAACAAATTTTTAAATGGACAAGATCATATCATTACCTACAGGCATGATGTTGTACAGCAGATCTCTGGAACATAGTCATCTTGCAAAACTGAAACTGAATCTGTTGAATAGCAATTACCTATTTCCTTTTTCTTCTAGACTCTGGAAACCAAAATTCTACTTTATGGTACTATAAATTTGACTATTTTGGATATTTCATATAAGTGGAAAAATGCAATATTTGCTCTTCTGTGACTGGCTTATTTCACTTAGCATAATGTCTTCCAGGTTCATCCACATTGATGAATATTGCAGGGTTTCTTCTTTTTCAAGGCTGAACAATATTCCATTATATGTATATGTAAATAAACCACACACACACACACACACACACACACACACATTTATTACATTTTCTTTATCCATCTTTTATCCATCAATGAACATTTAGGTTGTTTCCACATCTTGGCTCTTGCAAATAATGCTGCAATGAATGTGGGAGTGTAAACATCTCTTTGAGAACCTGATTTCAATTCTTTTGGATGAATACCTAGAAATGGAATTGCTGGAATATGGTATTCTATGTTTAGCTTTTTGAGAAACCTTCATGCTGTTTTCCATAGCAGCTGAAACATTTTGCATTCCCACTAACAATATACAAAAGTCTCATTTCTCCATGTCTTTGCCAACACTTGCTACCTTTTACCTTTTGTTTGTTTGTTTTTTTGAAAACGGCCATTGTAACAAGTGTAAGTTGATATCTTATATGGTTTTGATTTGTATTTCCTTGATGGTTAGTGATGATAAACATCTTTTCATATACCTCTTGGTCATCTGTATGTCATTGGACAAATGTCTATTGAAGTTCTTTGTTCTTTTTTTTGTTCGTTGGTTGGTTTTTGAGACGAAGTCTCACTCTGTCACCCAGGCTGGTGTGCAGTGGCTCAATCTCAGTTCACTACAGCCTCCACTTCCTGGGTTCAAGCGATTCTCCTGCCTCAGCCTCCTGAGTAGCTGGGATTAGAGGTGCCTGCAACCATGCCTGGCTAATTTTTTGTATTTTTAGTAGAGATGGGGTTTCGCCATGTTGGCCAGGCTGGTCTCAAACTCCTGACCTCAGGTAATCCACCCGCCTTGGCCTCCCAAAGTGCTGAGATTACAGGCATGAGCCACTGTGCCCAGCCTCTTTGCTCATTTTTAATTGGGTTATTTGTTTGCTTTTGTTATTGACTTATAGAAGTTCCTTACATAGTTTGGAAATTAACTTCTTAGCAGATATATGGTTTGCATTGCAAATATTTTCTTCCATCCCTTAGGTTGCCTTTCACTCTATTAATTGTTTGCTTTCCTGTGTAGAAGCTTTTTAGTTTGATGTAGTACAACTTGTTAACTTTTGCTTTTGTTGCCAGTGCTTTTGGTATCATATTTAAGAAATCACTGCGAAGACCAATGCCATAAAGCTTTTCCCCTATGTTTTCTTGCAGGAGTTTTGAACTTTCAGGTCTTATCTTTAAGTCTTTAATTCATTTTAAGTTGACTCCTGTGTGTGGAGTAAGAAAAAAGCAGGGTTTTTTCAACAGCATTTGTTGAAGAGACTATCTTTTCTTTCCCCATTGTGTATTCTTAGCGCATTTGTCAAAGATCAGTTAACCGTATACACATGGCTTTATTCCTGGGTTATCCATTCTGTTCCATTGGTCATCTCTCTCTCTCTCTTTTTCTGTTTTCTTTTTTTTTCTCTCTCTCTTTTGGACAAGGTCTTGCTCTGTTGCCCAGGCTGGAGTGCAGTGGTGCAATTACAACTCACTGCAGTCTCTACCTCCTAGGCTCAAGTGATCCTCCCGCCTCAGCTTCCCGAGTAGTTTTAGGATCATACACCATAACCAAGTTGGGTTTATCCTTGAAATGTATGAATTGTCTAACATACAAAAATTAATTAATGTGATACAACGATACAGCACATTAATAGAATGAAGGAAAGAAATCATATGATCATCTTAATTGATACAGAAAAATCATTTGGCTGAATTCAACACTGCTTCATGATAAAAATTCTCTCAACAAACTAGGACTAAGAAGGATTTTAACTCACCAATTTGAAGGCCGTATGTGAAAAGCCCATGGCTAACATCATACTCAATGATGAAAAGCTGAAAACTTTCCCTGTAGGATAGGGAAGAAGGCAAGGATGCCCGCTCTAGTCATTTCTATTCAACATAGAACTGGGAGTCCTAGCCAGAGCAATTTGACAAGAAATAGAAATGAAGGCATCTAAATTGGAAAGGGAGAAGTAAAATTTTTTGTTTACAGATGACATGATCTTATAATTAGAAAGCCCTAAAGACTTCACACATACACATAAACAAAACAGAACTAATAAAAAAATTCAGTAAAATTGCAGGACACTGAATCAACATAAAAAATCAGCTGTATTTCTATACACTAACAATAAACTACCTAAAAAGGAAATTAAGAAAATAATTCCACTTATGATAGCATCAAAAAGAATAAAATACTTAGGAATAAACTTAACTAAGGAAGTGAAAGATTTGTACATGGAAAACAATAGAACATTGATGAAAGAACTTAAAGAAGACACAAATGAATGGAAAGATATTCTGGGTTAATGGATTGGAAGACTTAATATTATTACAGTGTCCATACTACCCAAAGCAATCTACAGATTCAATGCAATACTTATAGAAATGCCAATGGCATATTTTACATAAATAGGAAAAACAATTCTAAAGTTCAAAGGGAGTCACAAAAGACCCCGCATAGCCAAAACAATCTTGAGAAAGAAAAACTAAGTTAGAGGCATTATACTTCCTAATTTCAAAATGTTTCACAAAGCTACAATAATTAAATCTGTGTCATTTTTAATCTTGTCTTCTTCTAATTAGAACAGAGGTGCTTAGAGAAATGAGATACAATTTTATTTGTTGTGGTAAAGCCCTGTGATTTCATATATATATATATATATATATATATATATATATAGTAGTTATATATTAGTTAGTGTTCATGGTTAGAGTGCTACTTATATATTACTCTTAAGAATTCATTTCAACTATTCTGAAAAGGCCTTCTTTTTTTTTTTTTTTTTGAGATGGGGTCTCGCTCTGTTGCCCAGGCTGGGGTGCAGTGGTACAATCTTGGCTCACTACGAGTCCGCCTCCCGGGTTCACGCCAGTCTCCTGCCTCAGCCTCCCAAGTAGCTGGGACTTACAGGTGCCGGCCACCGCAATTGACACAGTTCTGTCCACTTACATTGGATCACTGATATAATACACTTAAATATACAACTAAATAAAATAGAGGGGCTTTAAAATCTATTAAATCTATTTTATATTGTAATTTAGGTATATGTCTATTTGGGGATGAATATTATTAATTATGAATGTTTTATTTGTGAATAACATGAAACGTAACCCAGGTTTAAACAATACCCACTTTCTGCCCCTCCCATTTAGAAGTGTGTTGTTGGTTCAGCTGCTGTGTAATACAGTCAAAGACTATGTGTCTTTTAATCTTTCTGTTCTACTATCCTTAGCAGGCTTGCTTTGCCTATTCATACTTATTACCTAATAAATGCAAAATGGTTGCTGAAGCTCCAGATGCCACATCTGTGTCCAAGGGGTAAGAAGGAGGAAGGAAGAGCTCCAGCAATCCGTCCCTTTAATCAGGAAAGCAAAACTTTTCTGAAAACTTTTCACCTATTTCAAAAAAGCAGGGTCATATGGCAAAGAGAAGAACAATCATGATTCATCACTTGGGGATGGGCATGTGGCTACCCAGAATAAAATTGAGTTCTGTTAGAAAAAAAGGAATGGTGGAGGGGGCTGCTGAGTAAGCAACTAACAGTGCTTTGTGTGCCCACTTTTGAATAAATAAGTTTCATTTTTACAGGCTAAAAGGCATACATATGTCTATGTATGTTCTTATATATATTCCTAAATATCAATATAAGCATCAATATTTAGAAATGAATTAACATAGGTTAAGTGTTTAGAATAGTGCCTATTAGGTGCCATAGAAAGATTTGCTATCATTATTTTTACTGTTAGGTGTCTATATATTTATATGTGTTTTACAGACAGTTTCTAAAAGTACTTCCTTTCCTCTTCACAATGATTACAACATCTGTTCTTTTTAACTCTAGGGGTACAAGCTGGAAAAGGGGAAAATGAATCATGCTACAGGCCAAGTGTCCATCACTGATTCCCAGAGATGCCCTTTGTGTGGTAGGCACTTCCATGTGGACTCGCTACAGAGGTACATGCATAGGTCCAAGATAGGCGTCCCTCAGCTCATGGCCTATATTCCAGCTTGTAGACTTTTGCTAAGGATGACCCCTCACCAGTAACCAGCTCTGGTCCCAAGCTCCTGGCTGCAGTCTTTAGTGTCCACAAACCCACAGAGGCTCATCATCCTCAACTGTGGGAGTGCACCTTTTCCTGCTGGTTCCTCCTCGTTGCCCTGGTATTTCTCCAAATGTTGTTCTCCCTCTGCTCAAATAGGCATGGAGCAGGGGCAGATCAGAAAGTATGATGTCCAGCCATCCTCCAACCAAAGAACAAAGTGCTAGACTATCATCATTGCACGTACCCCCAGTCTCTACTGGGGATGCCTAAGAGTCTTCCTTTCATGTTGTGAAATGAGGAGTGACTCTTCTGCTCCCATTGTGGGGAGGAAGGGAATAAATAGACCCCCACACATGTCATTGTCCTGCTGATATCCTAGAATTCCATCTCTTCCTCCAGTCATTCATCTACTTATATAGAATGAAGGTTTGGGGGTTTTAGCCTCCCCTTGATACCCTGAAGGGGGTGTGTGTGGCCTCCTAATACTCTCATTTTCCTTTAGAATGTGGGTGACTAGAGGCTACTTTGCCATTTGCTTTGAGTTTTAGTAGCTAATTCTGGGTTAACAGTGAAAGTCCTATTTGATATCCTGCTACTCTTGTTACTTTAACCTAATTAGATATTATATAAGTTGATAAAATGTGCATGTACGAGGAAATAGAGCAGTGTCTCCAAGAAACTAAGTGAAATTAGTTGGAGAAGCTTGAAAAAGCTAAGTTATTTAAAAATGCTGTGCCATCAGATGTATGTGAGGTAATACTAAGCAGTTGGAAAACAATGGTAAAATGGGAAGTGATTGTTCACTCAGATTGCTTCATGTGTTTCTTGACATCCTCATCCCATTTTGAAAGATTTTAAACTAGAATTGAAATGTAAAGGAGGTTCATAAAAGAAGATCGGGATATCCAATTTGCAGGCCCTGGCTCAAAGAACGGTGTGGGCCCTATGGTAAAAGGCAAACAAATATGCAGTCATATGTTTTAGGTTGAAACAAAAGCTTTAGGGTATGTATATTTCATTTTTAAAAGATTTCTCTAACCATCTTTTCAACTAGCTGTTTCTAATCATTCTGGATAACAGGGCTTTAATAGCAGCTCATAGTACCAGCTGCCAGCCTCCAGGTGCCCTTGCAGACAATCTCCCAGCCAGGGAAGAATGTGGAGCAGACTCCCATCTTTCTCACCAAGCCCCCTTCCCTCCTACTCTCCTTCTTTCTTAGACTATCATTATTCCCTAGCAATTATCGAGTTTTCAGCCTCCTTTTGTATCTCAGGATTCCTGCATCTGCTTCTGTTGCTGGGTGGAGGAGATGGAAAACTGCAAAGGCGAAGTGGCATAGGGGGAAGACTTGAGAACCATCTGCCTTGGGTTCCTTCTTGATTTTTTTTTTTTTTTTTTTTTTTTTTTGAGACAGAGTCTCGCTCTGTTGCCCAGGCTGGAGTGCAATGGTGCGATCTCGGCTCACTGCAACCTCTGCCTCCCAGGTTCAAGTGATTCTCCTGCCTCAGCCTCCTGAGTAGCTGGGACTACAGGCACTCACCACAATGTCTGGCTAATTTTTTGTATTCTTAGTAGAGGTGGGGTTTCACCACGTTGGCCAGGCTAGTCTCAAACTCCTGATCTCTGGTGATCTGCCCACCTCGGCCTCCCCAAGTGCTGGGATAACAGGCTTAAGCCACTGCATCTGGCCACTGCCTTGACTTTTTATTCCAGTTGTCTTCAACAGCCTGGAGTAGTAAAACGTAACTGGGTATCTATTCCTGTGAGGGTTAATACTGCACCAATAATCCTCACCCAGGCTTATAAGGCTAGTTTACCACACTACCGTAATCTTTTAATTGACAAGCATGCCTGTCCTGTGTCTCTTTCCTACCACACACAGACCCTTTCTATGAATATTGAATGCACAGTTATGCTTTTGAAGTCATTAGCTTTTATCTTCTTACCAGAAGGAATAGGGAGACAGAGAATCCTGCTACCTATCTACCAACTTACCTAGCTATGTACTCATATCTGTTTGTCTATCTACCTGTTCATCTTCCATAAAATGTTGTGCCTGGCACATAGTGAAGTTCTGATAAATGCATATTATTGTTACTCTCCATGGTGAATGTTGTAATGTCCAGTAGCTGATGATTTGATTCAATCTGCAATTGCTGCTTTGTAGTTTTGTCCTTTGGCCAACCTCTACTTCTGATGTCTTCCTTTGCTTGAGTCCGTGTCTTTCCTAATTTATTCCCCAACTCCAGGCCTGTTCTGATTTCTGATATCCAAAAATTTTCTTTTTTCCTGGCCTTGGGTCCTCCTAGAAAGGAATGGAGAGCTTGATTCCTCTGCTTTACCCTGAATATGGACACACAAAAAATAACAAACACAACTGCCCTTTCTGCCTCCTTCTTCCATTCTTCTGGTTTCTAGCCCAAAAAGATTTTGAGACAAACTGTGGATTTTTAAAACTTCCTAAAATAAAAAAGGCAACCCATATATCTGTGGCACGTATTAATAATAGCATCTGGCTGGGTGCATTGGCTCACGCCTGTAATCCCAGCACTTTGGGAGGCCGAGGTGGGCAGATCATGAGGTCAGGAGTTCAAGACCAGCCTGGCCAACATGGTGAAACCCCATCTCCACTAAAAATACAAAAATTAGCTGGGTGTGGTGGCGGGTGCCTGTAATCCCAGCTACTCGGAAGGCTGAGGCAGGAGAATCATGTGAATCCGGGAGGCGGAAGTTTCAGTGAGCCGAGATTGCGCCATTGCACTCCAGCCTGGGCGACAGGGTGAGACTCCATCTCAAAAAACACAAAACACAAAAAGCAAAAACAAACAACAACAACAACAAAAAAACAATAGCATCCACCTAGGGTGGATATTGGACCATGCTTGGAAGTGGTGGTGGTGATACTTACAGCAGGAAGTTGAAAGCAGCTTCTATCCCATTACTCCATTTTCTTCAACAGCCCGGAACACCCAGCTCTTGGTTCACCGAGTCTGTAAATATTTTCTGTCTAATTCCCTGCTGGATCCATTTTGTCTTTTCAAGGCTGCTTCTTTGTCAGAAGGTTTGCAGGCTTCAAAGAGCAGAGATGGTGTATGTTTTAGGTTTCAGTGGCATCTGCTGCCAGGACCAGCCTTAACTACAGTGTGAGTACTCAGCGGCTTTCCCAATTCCTGGGATGTGCCAGGTGCTAATCTCCACACTATTAAAGAAATAAGGGAGGGTACCCACCTCTACCTGATGCAGCACAAATGACTTCACAAGACTCACAAGTTCCTGCATGCTCTGGCACCTGCCTACCTTTCCATCTTCATCTCTCAACACTCCTCATTCCGCTCCCTCTAGCCCTAGTTCCCTGCTCATTGCACTGCACTCCAGCAACAAAGAGTTTTTTGCAGGTCCCAGGACAAGCCTCACTGTCTCTTACCTTAGGGTCCTCCCTTTGCCTAGAATGCTCTCCTCTCTTCTACCATACCTTCTCATCCCATTCTCAGTCTTCCAAAAACTCTTACTTACTATTCAAGTCTCAATTTAGACGTTGCTTTTCCCATAAATCTTTCTCTGTACCTCAAAGACTTAAACACCTGCCAAGGAGTCGTGCTTTGTGCAAAGCACTTTTCACAGCATCACATGGGATTCAATTATCTTTTCACTTATTGATCTCTGTCATTTCCATGAAATTAGGAACGATGTTAGCCATTATATCGCCACGGCACATGTCAGTAGCACAATAAAAATTCATGCAATAATTCACTGTGAATAAATGAGAAGCTACAACTAAACCTGAACAAGGCTTATGCTAGGTATCCACCCCAATTTAGATCCAACTCAGGAGACTGGTGCCAACCTAGTGCCCAGGAGAGGACTTTAAAAATCTGTGCAGAGGGCACTTTTCAGCTTCCGTGAGGCTGTTCATGCAAAGAGAGGTTGCTTTTAAGAGACCACTTACCCATCCAAAAAAGGGGTCCGGAGCCAGGGAAGAAGCAAGTGCCGTAAGGGAGACCACTGCCTGGATTTAGCACTGTAATGGGAGGAGAGGCAGAGAAACAGACCTCATCCCTACAGGGGTATTAGGCTTCGAGACAGCATATTTTAGGGAATTAAGAAATCTAATCAGCCTGGTGCACTAAGAGGGAATCTGCAAACTCCCGGGTGTGGAAGAAAGCCGAAGTATCCTCGGGGAGATCCTAATTAAAGCGCAGCCGATTACAATTCCTCTGAAAAAAGAAAATGAAAGGACTGAGAAACATCTGCTGTGGTTTCATGAAGGGACTGCTCAAGGATGCAGAGTGTGAGAAAAAGAAATTCTTGACAGCATGGATGAGGCACAGAGCATGTTTGTTCTCCATTGGGCAAAGCTGGTGGGGGATGGGGCCTGACAACACAAAGGCGGGGGTTTAGGATTGTTTTAGACTATAGGGCAAAATAGAAGAGACCAAGGTTTGGTGGACATGAGAGGGAAAGGAGGCGTATCCTTCTCGTCCCTGTGCAGACAAGAATGACCCAGTGACCCTGCTGAGCTCTCTCCAGTTTGCCTAGCAACCTGCGAGCTGGGCCTGAGGGCCCCTCGTCTGATAGGAGAGGCTATGCACGACCTCCACTTCCCAAGGTCTCCAGGTGCTGGAGATCTCCAAGTGATCATCCCTAGTGATCCTCAGAGCACCTTGAAATACCTAGGCTTTGTCTGCTTGGTTCCAGAGTCTGAGATGTGTATTTCTTTCTGCAAGGCCGCTTTCGTGCTCATCCCATATAAAGGCAGAACAGGCCAGGCGCAGTGGCTTATACCTGTAATCCCAGCACTTTGGGAGGCCAAGATGGGTGGATCAGTTGAGGTCAGAAATTTGAGACCAGCCTGGCCAACATGAGAAAACCCTGTCTCTACTAAAAATACAAAACTTAGCTATGCATGGTGGTGGTGCATGCCTATAGTCTCAGCTACTTGGGAGGCTGGGGCATGAGAATCACTTGAACCCGGGAGGCAGAGGTTGCAGTGAGCTGAGATCATGCCACTGCACTCCAGCCTGGGTGACTGAGAAAGACTCTCTTAAAAAGATGATTGTCCCAGGCCTTATCCCTGAAAAATCTCCAAAAAGAAGAAGTTCAGATCTGATTAGAGTAAGTGCTCACATATCTTAGATGTAATCCTGGAATTGCTGAGCTAGAAGAGAGCTCAGATGTCATACAGCCCAATCTCCTGCAAATACAGGAACAGAAAAATGTAAAAGCCCAGGTAAGATTTAAACACAATTTTAGGCAACAGTCATGTCAGAATTTTCAAAGGATGGTACAGGAAACACATGCTATTGCTATGCAGAGGAGAAAGTGCTGACCATGGCCTGGGGAGAGTCCACAAAACCTTTGGGAAGCAGTAGGGATTAGTGTAGGTCCTGAAGCCCAAATTTCAAAGGTGAACAGCAGCCAGAAGTCCTCTGAGAAAGACAAAGGCAGGGCAGGACAACTCTGAGTACTGCCTGAAGAACGCCCTTAGACAGTGGTACTCAGAAACATGAATGGAGCTTACCTCAATGGTGTGCTTATATCTCCAAATGTTCCAGTAATCTGATTCTATATAAGTACCCCAAGATGTAGTAGCCTAGACTAACTACCATTTTACGATATCTCATGACTTCATTGGTCAGGGATTGAGACAGGGCTCAGCTGGATGATTCTTCTACTCCATACTGCATCAACTTGAGTCACTCATGGTATTCACATGGTAGCTGGTCTGGGCTGCAGGATACAAGATGGCTTGTTCACGTGCCTGGTGCCTTGATGGGGATGGCTGGAAGGTTTGACTTAGTCAGGCACTCTCCTTTTCCATGTAGTCTCAGGGCCTCTCCACAGAGCAGTCTGACTTCTTACATAGCTGCTCAGGGTTTCCAAGAAACCCAAGCAGAAGCTATAAGATTTCTTATGTCCTAGCTTCAGAACTTCCCCAATGTCATTTCTGTCAAATTCTATTTGTCAAGTAAGTCACTAAGACCAGTAGAGATTCAATTAGACCCTCCCCTCAAGCATCCATTTCCACAACAAATATTTCTAAATTTCCTATTCCATGCCAAGCCTTTGCTTGCTACTACTAAGGTTGCAAAAATGAATCATTCATGTTCCTAATCTGGAGAAATTCATGATCTAATTGTGGAGGCCATTATATATTTTTAATGTCCATATCATGTGATAAGAACTAATAAAAGTGGGGACTAAATGGCAAAAGAGTATAGAGAAAATGTAGCCTATCTTAGAATTGGACGAACTAAGTCCTGTGGGCTGAATCCAGTCTGCAGCCTGTTTTTATGAATAAAGTTTTATTGGAACAAAGCCATGCTTATTTATTTACATATTGTCTGTGCCTGCTTTGGCACTATAATGGCAGAATTGAGTAGTTGCAACAGAGACTATATTACCTGCAAAGCCTAAAATATTTACTCTCTGGTCTTTGACAGAAAAAGCTTGTTGACTCTGGATCTACCTAGGTATGGCTGAATTCCAGGAACTGTAAATCCAAATTTGGGACAATTGTTCAGAATTTGTTAGTGTATTTGGATACTGACATTTCTCCTAGATTTATTTCATTTTCTACCTGGATTTTCTCTTTATTTTTATTTTAAAATATATTTTACTTTCCTTATATTATGTGTGTTTAATAATATTTTATCATATAAAATTGTATTTATCCGGAACCTTCTATATGCAAACTTTGTACTAGACCTTGCTTGTGAAAAACTTACAATCTAGTAGTGGAAAATTCAAGTATCAATTATTAAACAAAACACCAGGCAGAAGTATGAAAAAGGAACAAGGTTAAGACCAACTATATGCCAGTCTTTGCATATTCATTTAAATTCTACAGTAACTTTATGAGCTATATATTATGAGACCATTTTATAAATGTGGAAACTAAGGCCCAGAGAAATAAACTTACTCAACCCAAGGATAGCTAATAGGTGGTATAACTGAAATTTAGTTAGAAATTTACCATTTGGCCTATCTATTTATTCTATTACTATATGTTTCAGTGCCACAATTTGTATTTGGTTCTTCCTCAAATCTGCTGGTATTTTTTTTTTTCACTGTGCCATTAAATTACTGACTCTCTTTCTTCCCTCATCTCTTTGAATATTTTAAACATACTTAACTTGAAAGCCCATCCCAATCTATCCTTGGCTCCAAACTTGTCAGAATGCTGGGTAAAATGTAACGTACCGATGGCTAGAAAGACAGATAAATTTCCCTGACACTGAGTTACCATATCTACAAAATAGTGCTGTTAGTTATTATTATTATTATTCATGGTTCCCAGGGTGTGACTCCAACATTTGCTGTGTCTGACAGCACTCACTGAAATTTAGTCATTTCGAAGTTTGTAATTTTTTACTACAAGCTCATCTGTAGTGGCACTTATTTTCCTTTGTAAATTCTATTATATATGTCCTGATTTATGGAGACGTCCTATTGAGTAGTTTAGCATTTGCCTGTATGGAGGACTTATTGAATTCACCTGTCTGGACCAACTTCTTCACACATTTTCTAGTTTGGAGTTCCTGAACAACATGGACAGTGTTAATTTGGATTCCATGCTTCATGGCACAGAATTGGAGCACTAACTACTCAGTGATGACTTTCTCTTCCTCTAGCTAAGGTGATCAACAAGTTTCCTTGTTCTTTCTCCAAGTAGTAGAAGAAAGTAAAGGTAATGTGTTTTATTTTTGTTTGAAATTTCTGTGTCTATAATTTATCTCCTTTTGTGCCATCTGTGAATCGAGATTTACCATATTCTATTTTTCTGGTGACTAATATTAAAGGTATTACTTTCTCTTCTTCTAGCAGTTACGCTGGAAGTTTTCACATGTATATTTAACTTTAAACAAATCTAAAGTTTATCTTCTTGCACAATTAAAGAACTATAGAATGTTTTATGCTGCTTGCCCTCAAATGATAAAAATGATGTTTATTTTAGTTCTTGTTTAACATCACAAATAAGGCATAATTTTATTCCTTTCCACATTCTAAGATTGTTTATATTTATCCATATTTACTTTTTTCCCCTTGCTATCCTTCCTTTAATCTCCTGCCTCTTTTGAAGCTTGCTTTTCTTCTTTTTGAAGTGAAAATTTTGGTTTCTTGGCACTAAATATTATTATTTTTTGTTTTCCTTTAAAAATGATTTAACCCTTGTTCTTGAAAGATGGCTTCTTTGAATACATATATTCTAGATTGATAATTTTTTTTTTTAGTACTTACTATTCCATTGTCTTCTTGTCTCCATTTTTGGGGATGAGAAGTCAGCAGTCTACAGGCCTTTTGACAGTAATATGAATTTTTGATTTCTGAGATTTATTATATTCTGTACCTACCAAGTAATACCTTTCAGTGATTTTGAAAATTTTTCAGATAATGACCTTTTAAAATATGACCTCCTTTTCTCTAGTCTTTCCATTATCTCCTTTTGAACACCAATTAATTATTGTTAGACCATCTTGCTCTACACTTTATGACTCCTGAATTCTTTTTCACATTTGTTGTTTTCTGTCTTTCTTGACTGCTATCTTGGTAATTAATTAAACCTATCTTCCAGTTCATCAAGATTGTCATCATCTCTATATAACATGCCCTCTAATTTGTTCATAGTTTGTAATTCTCATTTATTCATTTATTATTTCTAAAAGTTCCATTTGATTTTTTTCCATTTTTTTCTGACGAATTTTGATAGTTTCTTTTGGGAAGAAAGAGGATATCTTTTTTCATACTTTCAATGCTTATTTCTTTAAATATGTTATCTATCCTAATTTTTTTTCTTGCCTATGTTAATTCCAAGACTGATCATCTTTATGAGTCAGTTCTGCAATCTGGGTTTTGTTGTTATTCTTGTTTTTAGTCTTAATCATGGTGACTTGCTTCTATACATTATGTAATTTGTTACTGTGAGTACATATTTCATGGAATGTTATTCCTCACAGACCTGAGTTAAAGTACACTCCTCAAAAGAGGATTTTACTTATATTCTGCATTACTAAAACACTGGACTACTTTCAACTACATTTTTGGTTTGGAATTTTTTTTGGATTATATTCACATGTGAATTCTGAACCCAAACTTATGTGCAGCTGGGCTTGTGGGTAGAAATTCTTTGGGAGGTCTTAATCTACTTTATCCAGAAAAAAGCAAACATTCCCACATTGCTTTCTGAAAAGCAGATTTATGGTTCTATTTTATTTCTCCTAAATCACTATGACGATCTTGTTTTAACTTATGGGTTCTTAATTCAACGTCCCCTCTGAGAAAGTCCTAAGTTTTGTCTACCATTCTTTCGGGTGCATGGTTTGTTAAATCTTAAGTTGTAGGTCCCCAGAAATTGGTAGATAGTCTTAGAAAAAAATAATAATTTTCATTCTGAACTATATTTTCCCTCCTTTCAAACCTCTGGAGATTTCCTTAGTTTTTATATTTTATTCAGAATTTTAATGAATTCTGTGTCAGAAAGATTTCTTTGGTCATCTATTTCATCTGGAGATAAAAGTCAGGGCTGTTTTTCTAACACCTGTCTCATGGACAGAACAACAAGTCAGGCTATGCCCTTTATGGAGTGAGAGTAGTTCCAGGGTTCTGCCTTAAGCAGGCCTGAGATCTTAGTTCCTGCTCCTGGGTGGGTATCAAAACACTGGTCCCAGCCCCTAAGGCCCAATTTTTGTTCTAATACCAATTTGGATATTTATCTCAATGCCTGATCACCTCTTCATCTTTTTTTTTTTTTTTTTTTGAGACAGAGTCTCTGTCACCATGGCTGGAGTGCATTGGCATGATCTCGGCTCACTGCAACCTCTACCTCCCGGGTTCAAGCGATTCTCCTGCCTCGGCCTCCCAAGTAGCTGGGACTACAGGTGTGCGCCGCCACACCCAGCTAATTTTTGTAGTTTTAGTAGAGATGGGGCTTCACCATGTGGGCCAGGTTAGTCTTGATCTCTTGACCTCATGATCTGCCTGCCTCGGCCTCCCAAAGTGCTGGGATTACAGGCATGAGCCACCACGCCTGGCCACCTCTTTGTCTTTAAATTCACTCTTTGTGGCACCTTGGAATTATCTTTTATTGCAATAAAATACGTCCCCATTTTTATTTTTGTTGTCATTACCCTTAACACTTCTATCTGAGTAGCAGTGAAGCATCATCATTATGAGGACAGTCTCTTAAGCTGGACTTCCAGGCTGTCCTGGCTCCACAACTCTCTAGTTGTAACATCTTGGACAAGAAATTTAACCTCCATGTGCCTTACATCTCTTCATTGATCAGACAGGCATAATAACCATGCCTGCCTCTTAGAGCTTCTGTGAGGATTCAATGAGTCAATCCACATAAAGCACTTAGAGTAGTCCCTGGCATGTGATCTGTGTGATCTGAGCATTAACTAGTATCAACAGGGTGTATTTAGACCAAGAAACTTTCTGTTTCAGCTCAGGCTTTCCCAGGTGGACCTCCCTCCCTCCAACTCCAGGTTCTTTCCATTACACCATGAGGTCTACCCAGGGATAGGAGAGGGGTTAAGTCAGGAAATGTGTGAGCTTTGGTGGGGTATGACTGAGATCTGCTTCTTAAATTTGAGACATAAGGTAGAGGCTTGATTGTTGAATGATAAGGCTAAATTCTACTTCATATGATGAGCCAAGTGTGATGCCTAGGGCTAAATTTAAGGAAGCACTGTTTTACAGGGTTGTGCCCATGGAATCCCTGCACTGATATAACCTAGAGAGTTAGTACCTCCTTAAATTTTGCTTGCTAGGCTCCTCACTGGCCTCAGCCTCATCTGACCGTGATCATCACCCTTGTATAGTGAGAGGATCAGAGAGGTCGTAGCTTATCCAAAATTATATTTCTGAAAACTGACAGAACTGTGATTGAAATCCAGTTTGCGTGACTCCAGAGAACTTGCCCTTAAACATTGGGTGCAACTGCTTTGAGTCTGATTGAGGCAGGTACCATAAAAACAGAGTGAGAGTATCACATGGAATTTGTTCAAAGAGCTGGGACCAACTGGTGGACAACACACTTCAAGAAACAAGACTTCACTGCATTGAATGCTCATCTATCAAGGGCCACATGTCAACCACAGGTGGTAGAAGGAAGCTGCCTTACCTCGCTGGTTCCCTGTCAGCCCCACCCATGGCTCCCTCCCCTTTTGTTCCATTCATCTTGGGTGGCATTTGGTGTCCCCCTGGTAGAATATACTTGCAATTCCAGGGGAATAAAAGCTGAAGTCAGGGCCTGGATAGATTTGGAGGGTAGTAAAAATTGGTCTCAGCCTGGTGCGGTGGCTCACGCCTGTAATCCCAGCACTTTGGGGGGCTGAGGTGGGTAGATTGCCTGAGGTCAGGAGTTCCAGACCAGCCTGGCCAACATGGAGAAACCCTGTCTCTACTAAAAATACAAAAATTAGCCAGGTGTGGTGGCAGGCACTTGTAATCCCAGCTACCCAGGAGGCTAAGGCAGGAGAGTTGCTTGAACCTTGGAAGCAGAGGTTGCAGTGAGCTGAGATCAGGAGGTTGCAGTGAGCTGAGATCAGGAGGTTGCAGTGAGCTGAGATTGCGCCATTGCACTCCAGCCTGGGCGACAAGAGAGAGTTAGTCTCAAAGAAAAAAAAGATTTGGTCTCCAGGTGTTTGATAGAATGGACCTATCAGAAGAAATTAATTGACCACAAATTAGAGGGAGGGCAGAGCCTGAATAGCTCAGTACTTATGTCCTTGTGTCCTTGGTGGAGACTAGCACAGTGCCTCATCTCTATTTAATATTTGATTGACAAATACTCTTATTAAACACAATTTGAATCTTTTCCTCTTTTCTAGGAGACAGATGAATTTCTATCTATACTCAGTATGCTTAAGATTTACTAGAACACAGGCACAACTAGATAAACTGTCCTGTGAAATTCACCTGAATGTGATAAAGAACTCTGCTACTCAGTGGTAGGGCTCAAAAAGCAGTACCACACAATGAAAGTCTCAGAAGCAAACATTTTTCTGTGACTTTCTCCCACCCTCCTGCCTCTGACTCCTCATTCTTCCCTGAGATGACCCATAGAAACTAGAATCTCTCTTCCCCAAGGCAGGACATAGAAACCAGAACTTTTTCCTCAAAGCCAGCCATAAAACCTAAAAATAGTATTATAACTTCCCTCTACCTTTCTGTGTAAAAATTGGCTGTAAAGAAATTATCTGGCTTATCTTGTTTGGTTGTAGGTCATAAGACCCTAATTCCAGAGGGCCCTACCCTATAACCAGAAGGAAGAACTATTGCACAGAGAATCTAAGAAGAATCTAGACAGACAGCCCTTGCTGGATTTCTCCACTCTGTTAGCATTCGATCATTTGCCTTTTGTCCAGTCATATTTCTGCATGGCTGTCCATACTTTGTTGAACCTAAGCACAAAATGGAAAGTTTTCCCTGTATCTTTGGGTCGTCATTCTGAAGGCTCCCATGTTATGTAAAACTATGATCAAATAAATATGCATGCCTTTTCTCCTATAAGTCTGCCTTTTGTCAGTGATTTTCAGTGAACCTTCAGAGAGTGAAGGGGAAGTTTTCCCTTGGCCCCTATATCAGTTTCCTCAATACCTGCCATGCAGAAAATCTAAACTAAGATGTGCCAAACAACAAGGTATCCAGTTGGTAGAAGAGCTCTTACTGAGTGACACTAGGGAGTTGTTGGGTAAAGATCTATTTCAGACTTTCAATTAATTATCTGAAAGCAGGATTCAGGAGTGTGAAGGGAGACTTGTGGCGTATTCCACCAGGGGGGGACAGTAAATGCTGCCCAAGAAGAATGGCGCAAAAGGGGATGGAGCATGGGTGGGGCTGACAGGGAGCCAGGGAAGTAAGGCAGCTGCCTTCTACCAGCTGTGGTCAACATGTGGCTCATGAAGGATGAGTACTCAATGGGGTGGAGTCCTGTTTCCTGAGATATGTTGTCCAGCAGTTGGTCCCAGCTCTTTGAACAGATTCCATGTGATACCCTCTCCCTGTTTCCATGGTACCTGCCTCACTCATACTCAAAACAGCATCACCTAGTGTTAAAGGGCAAGTTCTCTGGAGTCAGGCAAACTGGGTTTCAATCACAGCTCTGTCGGTTTTCAGAAATATAATTTTGGATAAGCTACGACCTCTCTGATCCTCTCACTATACAAGGGTGATGATCACAGCCAGATGAGGTTCAGGCCAGTGAGGAGCCTAGTGAGCAAAATTTAAGGAGGCACTAACTCTCTAGGTTATATCAGTGCAGGGATACCATAGGCATAACCCTGAGAAAGAGTGGTTTCTTAAATGTGTAGCCTTGGGCATCACACCTGCCTCATTCTAGTGGAGGAGTGACTGGTGATGATTATGTCTACCTCATAGAGTTGAGATGAGAATGAGATAAAATCTCACAGGGAAAGTTAATTACAGAGTGCGTGATACATGGGAACTGTGAGTATTCAGGTACCCTCCTCCTTTCTTACCTTCCTAACCCATTCCCAGCATATGCTACTCTCATCACTCAATGGGGAGGCGACCCGAGGAATCTGTTAGAAAGTTCAAGCCTTTTGAAGGGTAAGAGAGCACCCGTTAGAAAGAAGAGACCCCTGTCCTTTTTGGAGCAAAAAATGAAAGTGGGCTCAAAGGGTGGGCCCTCTGGGTACCTGACATTTGCAAACAGTGATATACATTGTTGTATATAGAAAGAAGATGTTTTATTACTTTTATTTTTAGATGGAGTTTCGCTCTTATTGCATAGGCTGGAATGCAATGGCGCGATCTCAGCTCGCTGCAACCTCCGCCTCCTGGGTTCAAACGATTCTCCTGCCTCAGCCTCCTGAGTAGCTGGGATTACAGGTGCCCGCCACCATGCCCAGCTAATTTTTGTATTTTTAGTAGAGACGGGGTTTCACCATGTTGGCCAGGCTGGTCTCGAACTCCTGATCTCAGGTGATCCACCCACCTCGGCCTCCCAAAATGCTGAGGTTACAGACATGAGTCCCCGCGCCCGGCCACATATTTTCAGATGGTAGTAACTCACTACTGCAAGCACTGATGGCTCCTGCTCAGTTTCCATTCCTCTCACTCTCTTCTGGGAGAGACCACCTTTCACAACAGAAACTGAACATAACTGCCCGCTTTCTCAGACTCCCCTTGCAGATATGGCAAGAACATATAAGTCTGCACAGGCCAGTAGGGCTAAAGAAGAAGTTTCAGGATGTTTCTGGGAAGAATTTCTTCTCTAATGAAGAGAGAAGCACTTAGGATGCCTCATTGTCACATAGCTGGTAAGTGGTCCTGACCTAGGTTTGTTAAACTGGTATCTGTAACTATCAGTTACTGATATGGTTTGGCTGTGTCCCCACCGAAATCTCATCTTGAATTATACTCCTATAATTCCCACGTGTTGTGGGAGGGATCCGGTAGGAGATAATTGAATTGGGGGCAGGTCTCGCTCATGCTGTTCTCCTGACAGTGAATAAGTCTCACGAGATCTGATGGCTTTATAAGGTGGAGTTTTCCCGCGCAAGCTCTCTTTGCCTCCTCCGTTTTGCCTGCTTCTCTATGGCTGCTGCCATGATTATGAGGCTTCCCCAGCCACATGGAACTGTAAGTCCAATTAAACTTCTTTCTTTTATAAATTGCCCAGTCTCGGGTATGTCTGTATCAGCAGCGTGAAAATAGACTAATACCGTTGCTTTGTGAATGCTTGGAGTACTGGAATTTCTGAGTTGAATGCTAATTTAGAAGTTAAGCTGGGCGCGGTGGCTCCTGCCTGTAATCTCAACACTTTGGGAGGCGGAGGTTGGGAGACTGCTTGAGCCCAGGAGTTCAAAACCAGCCTGGGAAACATGGTGAAACCCATCTCTACCAAAAATACAAAAAAATTAGCCCCGGAGTGGTGGTGTGCACCTATAGTCCCAGTTACTCAGGAGGGTGAGGTAGGATCGCTTGAGCCCAGGAGGCCAAGGAGCCAAGACTGTGCCACTGCACTCCAGCCTGGGTGACAGAGTGAGACCCTGTCTCAAAAATAAATAAAATAAAGTAAAAGTCCCTAGGAAGCAAAAGTTTGACTCAACTTTTTTCTTTATTTTTAAAAATTGTTTTATTCCCCTCTACAGTTTTTGAGTTCTTCTTGAAAGATAGCTTTGTCCTATCAGACCTGGTTAAGAGAGACAGCTTTTGAGAGGCATGGTAGTACTTAACAATCAGGTCTGGAACCATGAGGAAGGACAGGGGAAAAATCAAGAAGCAAAAGGTTGAGCCCAGTGTGGGCCCACCTGAGTCTTCTGTCTTATTCCCTCTGATTGTGAAGTTGGTATCATTTCTCTGACCTGGAGGTTAGCAGCTGGGCTGTCAGCAAGCTTCAGGCGGCAGCCCTTGGCACCAGCCTAGAGCAAGCACTGGGGGTTTGTCTGCAGAAACAACTGCTGAAAGCAATTGTGGGACACCTTCAAATTGACAACATGAGAGATGGTGCAAATTAATAGTGCAGTGCCTTCATCTGGGGTGTAAGGGAGGCAATGAGAGAGAATAATCAGCGAAGCTTGAGCTGGGTGAGGTCAATTATAGAAGGTAATATGCAAGACGTAAGCTTGGAGTTGGGAACTCAGAAAAATCACAGAATGTTTTTGATCCAGGAGGGGATATTGGAGATTTTCACATTTGGTGTGTTTCAATCCAAATTATAATTTAAAGGGAGACACACCTTTTTTGTGAAGGGCTCAATAGCCAATCGTTTTGGCTTTGTTGGCCATAAGTCTCCGTCACAACTGCTTGGCTCTGCCACTGTAGTGCAAAAACAGCCATAGATAATGTATAAATGAACAGGCATGGCTGTGTTCCAATAAAGCTTTATTAACAAAAATAAATGGTGGGCCAGCTTGGTCTGTGAGATGTAGTTTGCCAAGCCATAATACAGGATCCTGAAAAGACAGAGATACACTATCTCCTCTATGCAAGGCACTGTCCAAACCCTGGAAATATAAAGAAGAAAAAAGTCGTGGGCTGACCTATTTTTTTTAAGGATTTTATAGTTTCTTCCCTCCGGTTACCCTCACTTTTTTATCTCAATCACCATCACCACCAGTCCTTTGCATTAAGCATCTTCTATAGGTCGACTCTATCCTAGGAGCTTTATATGTGTTATTTTTAAACTTCAGTCTCACGACATAGGTATTATTATCTCCATTTTACTGACTGAAGAAATCAGAGCTGCAGCTTGTCCAAAACGCTGAAGCTCATAGGTGCTAAAGCTGGAATATAAATATCAGTCTTTCTTATTTCAAAGTACCTGCTTATTCTAAGAGGCATTATGGATTCAGAAGAGGGAATCTGGAGCTAGGCTTCCTGGAAGTGAATTCCGACCTATGACTTTGGGCAAGTGATCTAACTTTTCTGTGACTCATTTTCCTCATTTCTAAAATGGAGACAATAGAAGCACTTCTTTGGGTATGTGATGGTGAATTAGCTAAGTACATCTCAACATCCTACAATGAACAGGGTAGCACCTTGATAGAGTTTGGATATTTATCCCTGCCCAAATCTCATGTTAAATTGTAATTCCCATGCTGGAGGTGGGGCCTGGTGGGAGGTTGGTTCATAAGATCATAAGCTCATGACAAGCTTGGTGCTGTCTTTGTGATAGTGAGTTCTCATGAGATCTGGTCATTTAAAAGTGTGTGGCACCTCCTCCCACCCTCTCTCTTGCTCCTGCTTTCACCATGTGAAGTACTGGCTCCTGCTTTGCCTTCTGCTCTGAGAAAAAGCTTCCTGAGGCCTCCCCAGAAGCAGATGCTGGTGCCATGCTTCCTGTACAGCCTGTAGAACTCTGAGCCAATTAAACCTGTTTTCTTAAAAATTACCCAGTCTCAGGTATTTGTTTATAGCAATGCAAGAACAGACTAATACTCTCATCCCAATAAGAAAGAATGATCTGGCCCTAAATGTCAGTATCACCAAGGTTTAGAAATACCCCTGCAATATTTTGAACAATGAGGAGAGATAGGGGCTGAGAGTGATTTATCTTCTCTCAGAGTTGTTTAGGGGTAAAGCTAGGACAAGAATCCGTATCTATAGCATCCATGTCCTGAACCGTTTCTTCACCCCTACATTGCCACAGGGACAACTGCAGTGAGTAGTGGTGATCCAGATAGTGGGAACTATATGTGCAAAATGATCGGAAGCAGGAAGAAACAGTACAAAGTTTCTGTCTGGGACAAAGCAACCTGACTCTCTTGATTTGGATAGTCACTCATTGTAGGGGAGTCACAAGGAGCAAGTGAGGGAGGTGGAAAGTGGCTCCTGGTTAAGAGCTCAGAGTTTGTGAAGAGGCAAAGGGAGCCATGGTGGGTGTTTGAGCAGAGGAGTGATGCCTCCTGTTAAAACCAGGGAGGATCTGGCTGTGCAGGACGAGACTGGCATCTGTTAGATCAGCTGGCAGGGGACTGCAGTACTCTTCTCTGAAGGCCTGAGGCTCCAGACAAGATGGACAAGGTAAGGGAAGAGATGGCTCTCAGACATCTAGCGGAGGGGCCTCTTTGCAGCTCATAGATGGTACGTGCTCTGCCTTTGATCAGAGCCGAATAGGAGCTGACGACCTCCGACCATGTGTGCCAACCTTCCTCTGCACAGCCCCAAGTGATTCGGTGTCTGCTAATGAGATTTCCTGGAGGGCCGTTAAAGATTATTAAAAAGCAGTTTTTGCAAACCTAATATTAGCTTTTAAGTAGTTAGCAGGGATGAGCCCTTGCCACTCAGTGTTAACCAAAGCAAGTGATGACCTGCCACTCAGGAAACAGAGGGAGGCAATAGTAATCCCTCAGGTCCCAATGACAACGGGGGTGCTTCTGAGGCAATTCTATCACATTTATTTCTATGTGATCCACAAAATGTTCTTTGAACAATCTTTTTGTTGTTAGAAATGTGCTAATCACTAGAGAATAATACTAAGTGATGATAGTAATAAGAGTAGAAAATTTACTGAGTACCTACTCTATCTTAGGAACTATACTAAGTACTTTATATAAACACTGTCGCTAATCCTGTAACTCAGCTGCAAAGTAAGTACAATTAACCCTGTTTTCCACACGAGAATTTTGAGATGAAAAAACTAAAATGCAGATCCTTAGAGTCTCACTATCTAATGGGCCAAATGCTTAAACAGATGAACGTTATGTCATATGCTAAGAGTGGAAATATGCAGTCATACTTGCTAACATTTATTGAATGTGCCAGGTACTGTTCTACTTTTCTTTCCAGGTAAGAGCTCATTTATTTCTCATGAAACACTATAAGGTGGTTACTATAATCTCTGTTTTCCAGATATGGAAAGTGAGTCAGAAAGCAGTTATAACAAACTTGCCTAAAATTAGACAACTACTCAGAGGACAAGAAGGATACAAACTCAGTTATCAAGTTAGTTAATTGACTTAACATTCATTTTATTTACCTACATAATAAGCCTAACAAAAATAATTATCTGCGAAGGTTGTTAAAATGGTTTCAACTATCTGATCCACATAAAATATTTAGCAGAATTCCTGGCATATTTTGCACGATTTATAACAGCCTCACCTGGTCTGTTTTGTTCACTGTTTATTCTCAGTGCCCAGAACATTGCCTGGCACGAAATAGATCTTCATTAAATATGTACTGAATATGTGTTAAAATGTCAGCTATTGTTATTGTTACTGAGGAAAGAGGAAGCATAGCTTTACATCACAATGCCTGAAGTCGTTTGACATGGCAACAAAGAGTAAGTAGTGCTGGAGTAAGACAAGACAAGCATGGGGGAGACTTCTGTGACTTACATAATCTATAGGATGGCTGAGATGCTGCAGGTGCAAAACAGCATCCCAAGCTTGGGAAAGTTATCTTGAGGTGTCTGGGGGAAGAGATGTGTATATAGCAGAGGTGGTTACTATAGAAGTCAACACGTTCGCTAGCAGAGGAGGCGGGAACCTGGGGTAGAAGAATACTGTGCTGAGAACAAAGGCTGGGTCTCCTCTGCAGAGGTTGTGTCTCTCTATGGCCTTAGGAGAAAGGCAGCCAGTGAGAGGAGAAGAAAATAGGAAGGGTATCTTTGGAACTGGAGAGATTGACTCAGAAGTCCAAGGTGGAGAGTTTCAAAAATGAGGTTATCAACAATGTCAGACACTGCAGAGTTCTATTTTAGGACTCAGCTGCACAAGGGATAGCTCACAATGTCTGATCTAGGGTAGCACATATAAACACGTGTTGTGTGAACTTGCTGAAGGTCACAGAGTAAGTGATAGGTTCAGGGCTTGGACTCCAGTGTTTAATTCTCAAGCCTCTGTTCTTAACATTATTTCTATCTGTTTCTATCCTTATGTCACCTCTCAATGCCTCCCTTGACTTTTGAGCTTGCATATCCCTTGAGCAGACCTCTCCTTTGTGCCCTTGATTCTTCCTGGAATGCTCATCCTTCTCTACATATGTTAGATCAATTATTTTTTTGTAATTTTTAAAAGGATTGGTCTTTCATTATGAAGTAATATCTGATTCTTCCCAGCTGTAAGTCATTACTTGTATTTTCTTCATCTTCTCGTTTTATTTCTTTTATAGCACTGATCTCATTCTGCCCTTTATTACACACTTGTCTATTTTTTTTGACCCACTTGGGGCCCTTGAGGGCAGGATGGTGCTCTTTATCTTGGTGTCTCCCATGATAACGTAGCAGAGTGCTTTTGATGTAGCATGGGATCGATAGCGCTTGTTAAGTTGAAATAAGACATAAACCAAGTGTATTTCTCTCCATCTGTTGCCTCCAAACTGGTCTTTAGAGATTCCTGTAGTCTATAGATCTAACATTTACATAAAATTTAAAGGAGACTCAAAAAATACTCTTGGACAAAAAGATGCATGAAAGAGTGCAAAAAAGTATATGTAGATCAATAGGGCACTAGTTAAACTTTGATATATTCACAGCTGTAACAAGGAGTGTGCTTATAAACAGCTGCGGAGTGATCTTCAGATTACATTCTGGATTAAACCAAATAAACAGAGTGGAGAAAAAGATGCATGACTTAAAGTGGGGGTGAATAAATAAATTATATATGTATATTTATATTTATGATGGGGAGATAAACCAAAAACAAATAGAAAAGGTATTACATATCTATAAGGTCAGTGAAGAAACAAGGTAAGAAGGATGGGGAAGGAGCAAAATATCTCTGAATATGCCTGGCTTTATAGATTCACCTCTGGAACCAGGAAGATGTTTTACATAATCACAAAGCAAAATCAAATTTACAAAATAGCTATTTGTAAAAATTGAAGTCAAAGTGAAAGAAATAAGCGTAACTGTGTGTGTTGGGATTATGGCCTAACCAAATAGAGAATTATTTCAAGTGATTTTGAAACACAGTAATTTTACTGCATCTCTAGTGGGATATACTCTGTGGATAAAAATATCTATAAAATAAATTTAAGCATCTGCAGTAGTCAGTGTTGATGTAGTGCTGATCTTGTTGATTATTCTGATACTTGTGAACATTGTGAGATAAGTACTTACTTTATTGAGAACCAGAATTATTAGTGTAGAGGAAAGGATATAAAAGTGTCAGATTGAAGAGATTAAGTGAAAATTCTGTAGTCCCGAATTTGACTTGGAATTCATTAAGCAATTCATAATGAATTTCTCCATTTAAACCAACAATGACAACCACACCTATGTTCCAGCCCAAACCACTGATAGAGCCTAGATACAGTGACGTACCCTGCAACAGTGAACTCCCCTAGCAATCATAATGTGGTCTCTAAATACCTTTCCCAATAAAAGCAACTAGGAATCTCTAGAGAAGTATCTAGGTCTGGGAAAGACAATAAGATGTACCTGAAATCATCTTCCTGGAACCCAGGAAGCCATTATAACTTTATGGCAATGTGTCAAGAAGACATGGAAGCCACCTTCATGAGGCATTTATTGGCAAAATGAATAACTACAGAATATATTTAAATCTGTATTCATAATGATATTTAAGCCCAAAGAATATTTTTATTTTTGATCAAGTCACTCTTTTGTCCAAACCTCTGCAATAGTTTCCCTTTTCACTCAAAATAAAAACCGAACTTTTTACCAAACCCCAAGGTCTAACTTGATTGGTCGCCATTCATTCTCTGAACTCATCTTCTGCTATTCCTTGCTCACTCTGGTTTAGCCCCACTGGCCTCATTCTCATCATTGGACATGCCAGGCACCCTCCTATCTCACAGCCTTCGCACTGGCTGTCCCCTGTCCTGAGATGTGCTTCCCTCCAGGTAGGTACATGGGATACCCTCTTCGGAAATAATCTCAAATGTCACTGTATTTGTTTCTGTAACAGAGTACTACAAACTGAGTGGCCTAAAACAATGGAAATGTGTTATTTCACAATTCCAGAGCTTAGAAACCTGAAATCAAGTTGTTGTGAGGACCAGTTTCTCTTGGAAACCTTTAGGGGAGGATCCTTTTTGGCCTCTTCCAGCATCTGGTTTGCTGGCAATCCTTGGCATTCCTCTGCCTGCAGCTCCATCACTCCAATCTCAGCCTCTGTTGCCACATGGGCATTTTTTTTTTCTGTGGGTCTCTCTGTGTTTTCAGGTGGCATTTTCCTCTCTGTTTATATTCAAATTTCTTCTTATAAGAACACTAAGCTGGGCATGATGGCTCACGCCAACATATCTGCTGACTCCACGTGCCCGAAGTATGACTTAATAAACTTACACCTGGTGGCTCATACCTGTGATCCCAGCACTTTGGGAGGCTGAGGTGGGCAGATCACCTGAGGTCAGGAATTTGAGACCAGCCTGGCCAACATGGTGAAACCCTGTCTCTACTAAAAATACAAAAATTATCCAGTCATGTTGGTAGGCGCCTGTAATCCCAGCTATTTAGGAGGTTGAGGCAGGAGAATCACTTGAACCTGGGAGGCAGAGGTTGCAGTGAGCTGAGATAGCGCCACTACACTCCAGCCTGGGTGACAGAGTGAGAATCCATCAAAACAAACAAACAAACAAAACACCAGTCATTGGATTTGGGGCCAATGACTGCATCTTCATTTGATTACAACTGTAAAGACTATTTCCAAATAAGGTCACATTCACAGCTACCTAGGCTTAGGTCTAGTAGAACAGTGTCTTTTTGGGGGATGGCGTTTATCCACTACAGTCATTTTTAAGTGAGACCTTCTCTGGTCACCCCTATCTAAAATTGTGGGGCCTCCCCTAACACCCTCACCTCACTTTCCTCCTTGTTTCCTTAACACTGACCAGCATCTAACATATATATTTTACTCATTAAAAGGTAACTGTCTCATTCCACTGGAATATGAGCTCCAGCAGGGCAGGGAATTTTGTATCTTTTGTCCACTGCAGTATCTCTAACTCTACTAGGTACTCAATAAACATTTGTTGAATGAATGTTGGGGAAGTCTAGGTATTTTGGCTATAGGTACACAACTTCCTTTCTCCTTTTGGCAGACTCATGTTGACTTAAGCATAGTTTTTTCCCCACATGAGGAGCAACATTGGTATAAACCAAAGAATCTCTACAAATAACTACAATTACCTTTATTTTACTATTTTCTCCTAGGTTAGTGTGTTTTTTGTCTACTTAACTACTTACTATTCCTGTTCTTAATTCGTTTTTTCCAAGACTATTAGTTATCTTAGGGGATTCTTGACTTCCATTTCATGAAAGGGACAGAGCAGTCACTGCTGAGGCAGGGGGAGCAAAGATACCATTATATCCTCTTTCTGATTCATAACTATCACTGGCTCTTGTGGTAGAAAAAGCTCAAGCTTTTATAATTCTTGTCTGTCTTTATTTCCACCACCACCACCCTTGATTTCTCTGCACCAGTGCTTTCTGAAATCCATTAGTGGGTGGATAAAACAATTTCCTTGAATATTACTAGGATTCTTAAAATACATAATAAAGGATAGAAGATACTCAAATTGTGTCAGGTAGTTTCAGTAAGTATTCTTTCCTGAAACTTTTGTTTCAGGTAAGTAAGTGCATGTGTTTGAGTATGTGGTGTGTTATGTCTTGAAATAAAAAACTGTTCTAGATAGACATTCTGTCTCCCTGACTCTGTTTCTCTGTCTCACTCTTCTCCCTCTTCCAGCTCCCTCATCTGAAACACAGCAAGCCATTGTTTAGAATGGACACTTGGGGCACTCTGACTCCTCACTTAAATCTCTTAATGGTGCTCCTTGCCATTCTAGCACAAGCCAGCACCTGACCTTGCATATCAGTGTGCTCAGGGTACATCTGGGGAGATTGTTGAGAGGCACTTCCCAGGCCCTCTCCACCTTAGGGACACTGACTTGGTAGGGCTGCATTGAGGCTCAGCATAAGAATTTTTAGTTGACTCCATGGAGATTCTGATGCAGAGTCAAGAATCACGTTTTATAAATATCTGGTTGCAAGAGGAAACAATGAAATCAATATGGGTATTTATATGGGTATGCCTGACTTTCCAATGTTACCCGTTCCTACTGGGATCCATACGTGACTTGAGATTGACAAACGTCACATCTGAGGAGATGAAGATGACTTTTTGCATTGAGGCAGCTTCCTTTTCTTCATGGAATTGCTAATTTGTTATTTCTTCCTCTTTCATTAGGAAAATTTTACTTGCACTAGCTTATAAAGAACTTATTCCCAAGTTTTGTTCCATAATAACACCATTGTGGCTCTGCCTTCAAATATTTTGCACTGCGTGATTGTCCAATGATTGAGGATTTGATAAAAGTCTTGTGAAAAGCAGAGCCACAGACCACATGGCAGATTCTATGAGGAAGATGGGATGTAAACTTTGGGGCGGGGGTGCTCTTGTCAGCCTTGGGCATTTGTTTTCCTGTTTTTTTTTTTTCCCCTGCGCTGAGAATTAGATTCTGGTATCAAAGCAAAGCACCAATATTGGAAAAAAGTTATCTACCCATTTTAGGCTTAAAACTTTGCAGGGCAGATGGCAGGACTGGTTAAGATAATGACTGAGCATACTTCAGATCCTCAAAAGTATTATATAAATACCTTATACTGGTAACTTTATGAATATATTACATTTGCTTCAATGCTTCATGGTCTAATTAATGCCCTAGAATTCCCAAACTCTTCTATTGATTATTTATTTATAGATATATGTTACCTTCAAAGCACAGTGAGGAGTGCCCAGCCTTGGCTAAGACTCATCTTGATATCAAATAATGGTAATATACATCACTCTCTATTAAAATAATGCCAGACACCAATGTAAGCAGATGACATGTATTGACTCTTGTAATCCTCCACAGTCCTAGAGGTGATTACCATTATAAAACCTGTTTCAGTGCTGAGGAAATTAAACACAGTGAGGTAAGTAAATTGCTCCAATTTATAGAACTTGTGGCATTGATACTTGAACCCAAATAGTCATATTCCAAAGTCTGAGCTATCAACCACTAAGCACATTTCCTGTTAATGGAGTTTACTGTCTAGTTAGAGAAGACGATAGAATTTTTATGCAGGGTAAACAAAGGAGCAAACTTTTTTTTTCATGTATGAGGGGGAGTCATCAAAATAAAGTATTAATGGAGCATGTACCTAACCACTGTTAAAGTTTTTATATTAGAACATGTATAATTGATTCCAGTGGATTGTTACCTTTCTGACAAGATGGTTAATAGTAGATCATAGATATTTAGAATGTATCAGGGAGTTTTGCTCCCATTTCTGCTGGGTGGATATGAACTAGTTGGACTCAGTGAATCTCAGCTGGGCTTGCTCATGTGTTTGCGTTCAGTTGTAGGGTTGTTGGTTATTGGTAGGTTGGCTGGAGGGTGGCTAGTGCCAGCTGGCTTCATGTATCTGGTAGTTTGCTGGCTAAGAGCAATAAAGGTGACTGTGCCACATGTCTGCCATCATCCAGCAGGCCAGCTCAGAGTTCTTTACATGGCAGGCTAGCCCAGGCTTATTCAAATGGTGGCAGGTTTCAAGAGAAGCGAGAAAGGGCAAACCCCAGTGTACAAGTCTTTTGAAGAGGAATCTGTGGCCACCTTTGTGATCTGCCACAGTTTTCCCTTTGCAAAATTGTTTACGTTTCACCCACATGCAAAATATGCTTGTCCCATCTCCAAACTCTCCAAAATATTATCCAATTACAGCATCAAGATTAAAGTCTACGATGCACCCAACACTAGAGCATTTAAAAATATAAAGCAAACACTGATAGATTTAAAGGGAAAGATAGACGGAAATACAATGATAGTAGGAGACTTCAACATCTCAGTCTCAGTAATGGACAGATCATCCAGACAGAAAATAGACAAACATTGGAGTTGTGCTACACACTAGACCAATAGACCTGACATTTGCAGAATATTTCACCCAACTGCTGCAGAATATACATTTTCTTCACCACATGGAACATTCTCCAGAATAGACCATTTCTTAGACCAGAAAACAAGTCTCAACAAACTCAAAAAGATAGAAATTATATAAAATATTATATATAATAATGTTATATAAAATATTTTCTGAGCACAATGTAATAAAACTAGAAATCAGTATCAAAAAGAACCTTAGAAACTACACAAACACATGAAAATTAAACAACCTGTTTCCAAACAACCAATGGGTCAGTGAAGAAATTAAGAATAAAATTGAAACATATGTTAAAACAAATGAACATGAAAATACAGTATACCAAAATCTATGGGATGCAGCACAAGCAGTGCTAGGAGGGAGGTTTGTAGCAATAAATGCCTACATCAAAAAAATGGGAGACTTCAAATAAACAATCTGATATTACACGTCAAAGAACTAGAAAAACAAAGCAAAAACAAAATTAGTAATAGGAAAGAAACAGATCACAGGAGAAATAAAATTGAGACTAAAAAATACAGATCAATGAAACAAATTTTTTTAAAGATAAATTGGCAAACCTTTGGCTAGACTAAGAAAAGAACCAAATATAAAAATCATAAATGAAAATGAGACATAACTGAGACCACAGAAATACAAAGAATTATTAGAGACTATTAAATAAACAACTATATGCCAACATATTGGATAAATTCCTGGGCACATACAACCTACAAAGGCTAAACCATGAAGAAATAGAAAACCTCAAGAAACCAATAGTCAAAGCTGTAGTAAAATGTCTTCCATCAAAGAAAAGTCCATGACCTGATGGATTCCAATTCTACTCAATCTCTTCAAACCAACTGAAGAGAAGGGAATACTTCCAAACTCATTCTATGAGGCCAGCATCACTACCAAAACCAGACAAGAACACAACAACAACAACAAAACTACAGGCCAGTATCACTGTAAAACACAAAATCGTAAGTCTAGCAAACCAACAGCGCATTAAAAAGATCATTCACCATGATCAAGTGGAATTTACCTCAGGGATACAAGGATGATTCAACATAAAATATATCACATCAACAGAACCAAGAAAAATAACCATGTGATCATTTGAATAGATGGTGACAAAATGTGATAAAATTCAACAGTCCTTTATGATAAAAACCTCATCAAACTGAGTATAAAAGTAGCATACCTCAAAATAATAAAGGCAATATCTGACAAATCCACAGCTAACATTGTACTGACCAGGGAAAACTTTTCCTCTAAGATCTAAAACGAGATAAGGACACGTACTTTTACTACTCTTATTGAGCATAATGCTGAAAATCCTGGTCAGAGCAATAAATCACACAAGAGAAAGAAAGGTCATCCAAATTAGAAAAGAAAAAAGTCAAACTATCCTTGTTTGCAGATGACATGATCTTATATTAAGAAAACTGTTAAGACTCTACAAATAACTCTTAGAACTGATAAATTCAGTAAAGTTGCCCAGTAAAAAAAAAAAAAAACCCAACACACAAAACTCAGTAGCATTTATATACACCAACAGTGAGCAATCTGAAAAAGATGTCAAGAAATCCCATTTATAATAGCTACAAAGAATTTAAGCAAAGGGTGTAAAGAACCCTTAGGATAATGGCCTCTAGTTCTGTATCCATGTTGCTGCAAAGAATATGATTTCATTATTTTTAAAGGCGGCATCGTATTCCATGATGTATATGTACCAGAGTTACTTTATCCAATCCACCACTGATGGGCACCTAGGTTGATTCCGTGTCTTTGCTGTTGTGAATAGTGCTGCAATGAACACACAAGTGAATGTGTCTTTTTGGTAGAATGATTTATTTTCTTTTGGGTATATATCCAGTAGTGGGATTGCTGGTCAAATGGTAGTTCTATTTTAAGTCCTTTGAGAAATCGCCAAACTTCTATGCACAGTGGCTGAATTAATTTACGTTCCCACCAGCAGTGTATTAGTGTTCTTTTCTTTACAATCTTGCCAGCATCTGTTTTTTAACTTTTTAATAGTAGCTGTTCCGAAGTGAACTAACATAGGAACAGAAAATCAAATACTGCTTGTTCTCACTTATAAGTGGAAGCTAAACATGGAAAAATAATGGACACAAAGATGGAAACAACAGACACTGGGGACTGCTTGAGGGGCAGGGGCAGAGGGGGATATGGATTGGAAGGCTATGCTCACTACCTGGGTGAAGAGATTATTTGTACATCAAGCTGTAGCAACATGCAATTTATGTAACAAACCTGCACATGTACCCCTGGCACATGACAGCAGAAAGACAAATCAGATTACACTAAGCTAAAAAGCTTCTGTACAGCAAAGGAAACAATCAACAAAGTGAAGGGACAACCCACAGAATGAGAGAAAATAGTTGCAAATTACCCATCTGACAAGGGATTAATAACCAGAATATATAAGAAGCTCAAACAACTCAATAACAAAAAGCAAAGCATCCGGTTAAAATGTGGGCAAGATATCTGAATAGACATTTCTCAAAAGAAGACATACAAATGGCAAATAGGTATATGAAAAAAATGCTCAACATCACTCATCAGGGAAATGTAAACCAAAACTACAATGAGATATCATCTCACCCCAGTGAAAATGGCTTTTATTAAAAAGGGAATAATGGATGCTGGCAAAAATGTGGAGAAAGAGAGCTCTTGTACACTGTTGGTGAGAATGTAAATTAGTACAGCCGCTACAGAAAACTCTAACTCTATCTAGGTTCCTCAAAAACCTAAAAATAGAACCACCATATGATCTAACAATTCCACCACTGGGTTTATATCCAAAAGAAAGCAAATCAGTGTATTAAAGGGATAGCTGTACTCCCGTGTTTATTGAAGCACTATTCACAATAACCAAAATATGAACTCAACCTTAGTGCCCCTCAATGGATGAATGGAGAAAGAAAAATATGGTATATATACAAAATGGAATATTGTTTAGCCACGAAACAGAATGAAATCCTGTCATTTGCAGCAACATGCTGGAGGTCATTATGTTAAGTGAAATAAGCCAAAGACAGAGAAACAAATACTGCGTGTTCTCATTCATATGTGTGAGCTGAAAAAGTGAATCTGTTGAAGATAGTAGATTGGTGATTACCAGAGCCTGGGAAAGGTGGAAGTGGATGAGGGAATGAAGAGAGGTTGATCAATGGGTACAAATATGCAGTTAGATAGAAGAATTAGATAGAAGCAGTAGGATGACTATAGTTAACAACCTGTTGTACAGTTCAAAATAGGTAGAATAATTTGAATGTTCCTAGCATAGGGATAAGATAAATATTCGAGATGATGGATATCCCAATTACCTTTATTTAATCTTTACCCATTATATGAATATATGAAAATATCTCATGTATTTCTAAAATATGTACATCTATATTATGTATTAATTTTAAGATTATCTAGGACTTCCTGATCTACATCACATCCAGATATAGAAGAGCCTTCTTAGGTATGGTTCTTTGAATGTGGGTATCAGTAATCTGGAGACCTTAACCTAAAAGAAACATCTGACCCCCACACACCCAACAGACTATGGTAAGACAGGAAAAGACAACCATAAAAGTGAAAATGATGGGAGGCTTGTAGTAGTTGCGGTCCATAGCAATTCTGAAATCTCGCCAGACAAATATTGCTCTGTCTTGTACTCTGGAGATAGGAGATTTTTCTTGATCAAGACCCAGTTTAATTCTTTGAGAGAGACTCCAAGTCTGTTGGTTTCAATGGTCTATTATCTTGATTTTTGATCCTACCTCTTGAGACTTTTTTTTTTGAGACAGAATCTCACTCTGTTGCCCAGGCTGGAGCGTAGTGGTGTGATCTCAGCTCACTGCAACCTCTGCCTCCTGGTTCAAGCGATTCTCATGCCTCAGCCTCCCAATTAGTTGGGACCACAGGCACACACCACCACACTTGGCTAATTTTTGTATTTAAGTAGAGACAGTGTTTTGCCATCTTGGCCAGGCTGGTCTCGAACTCCTGATGTCAAGCAATCTGCTTGCCTTGGCCTCCCAAAGTGCTGAGATTACAGACATGTGCCACTGCACCCAGCCCATCCTTTTTTTGTTGGAAAGGACACATATTGGTAGTTGACTAGCTTTTTTTGCCCATTTGTGCCTATATAAAGGCACATATCACTCTCATCCAGTTAAAACTGATGAGTGTTTTATTGGTACAAGTCCCTTAACACTTTGTGGGTTTGTGTATCCCATTATAAGTATACCCTACTCCACGTAAGCCTGTCTCTACTCTGGGAAAATCACCCTAAAGTTCTTATATACCCTTTTCTCTAGCCAACAATTCTGATAGGCAGCTCATTAAATCTTTCAGAGGCCTTCACAAAGTGTCTTAGAGTCACGTCCTTGATTTCTTTTGCTGGTGGTCATTGCTTGCTATGAGAATCTTTGACTGGCTCAAAAACCTGGAATTGAACAACAGACTTATGTTACCATCCACCAAATCCTGACTCTATTTCTTCTAAATTCTGCTTACAACTGAACAATTCTTCCTTCACCTACTCTTTCTTTTCCTGTATCTAATCATAGGCACCTAAATAAGCCAGTCAACTCTTTCCTCATACATGGAAATAATTTTGCCAGTGTCTAAAAGTTTAAGTACCTTTGCTATCACCCCAGTTGCTGAAGATGGCAGCATTGCTAATTGTTCCATCCTGTATATCACATGTCAATACATTTTCATATTTCCATTGCTGTTTTCTCACTACTTTCCCATTTCTGCTAACAGCTTGCTCACCATTTGTCTAGTCCTCATAACATTTTCCTTGCCTCTTTTCAAAGCTCCATCAGCTGGTCCCAAAGACAATGCACATGTTTTAGATTTTGGTTGTGGTAGCACCCCAATTTTAGGTAGCAGTTTCTGTACCAGTTAGATTTTGCTGTGTAATGATCCACTGCAAAATATACTGGCGTTCATTCTGCTCCTCATTCTGTGATCAGCGTGTTCCTCTGGTTTGAGTCAGCTTGGCTGACCTCTGCTGGGCTTGCACATGAATCTGCTGTCATCTGGCAGACCAACCAGTGACTGAATAGTCATGACCTCACTCATACACCTGGCAGTTGGCAGACTGTCAGTTGAGGCAACTGTGTCTCTCATCCAGCAAGCTAGACCAGGCTTCGTCACATGATAGTAGAGTTTTTAAAATAGACATGGGAAGTCCTAGCCAGGGCAGCCAAGCAAGAGAAGGAAATAAAAGGCATCCAAATAGGAAAACAAGAAGTTTAGCCATCTCTCTTCACTGATGATATGATTTGTATCATCATATCATCATATTTAGAAAACCCCAAAGATGCCACCAAAAGGCTCTTAGAGCTGATAAACAACTTCAGCAATGTTACAGAATACAAAATTAATATATAAAATTAGCAGCATTTATATACACCAATAATGTTTGAGAGCCAAATCAAGAACAGAATCATATTTACAATAGTCACAAAAAGAGTAAAATACTTAGGAATACTGCTAATCAAGAGATGAATGGTCTCTATTAGGAGAATTGCAAAACCACTTCTGAAAGAAATCAGAGATGACATAAATAAATGGAAAAAATCTTGTGCTCATGGATTGGAAGAATCAACATCATTAAAATGGCCATAATGCCCAAAGAAATATACAGATTCAGTGCTATGCCTATCAGACTACCAACACCATTTTTCACAGAATTAGAAAAAAAACTATTCTAAAATTCATATGGAACCAAACAAGAGCCGGGATAGCCAAAGCAATCCTAAGCAAAAAGAACAAAACTGTAGGCATCACATTATCTGACTCCAAACTATACTGCAAGGGTACAGTAACCAAAACAGCATGGTACTGGTACAAAAACAGACACATAGACCAGTGGAACAGAATAGAGAATCCAGAAATAAAGCCACATGTGTACAACCATCTTATCTTCAACAAAGTCAACAAAAAGAAGCAATGGGAAAGGACTCCCTATTCAATAAACAGTGCCAGGATAGCTGGTAAGCTATATGCAGAAAAATGAAACTGGACTTCTGTCTTGCACCATATACAAAAATTAACTCCAGATGGATTAAAGATTTAAATGTAAGACTTGGAACTATAAGAATCCTAGAAGAAAACCATAAAAACCATTCTGGATATTGGCCTTGGGAAATAATTTATGACTAAGTCCTCAAAAGCAATTGCAACAAAAACTAAAATTGACAAGTGAGACCTAAAAAGAGCTTCTACACAGTGAAAACCAAAAACAAAATCTGTCAACACAGTAAACGGACACCCTACAGAATGGGAGAAGATATTTGCAAGCTATGCATCTGACAAAGATTCTAACATCCAGAGTCCATAAGTAACTTAAACAACTTAAGCAAAAAATAACCCCATTAAAAAATGGACAAAGGACATGATCAGACAGTTTTCAAAAGAAGACACAAGTGGCCAACAAACATGAAAAAATGCGCACCATCGTGTTAGTCAATTTTGCATGAATATAAAGGAGACAGGGTAATTTATAAGGAAAATGTTTATTTTGGTTCACAGTTCTGCAGACTGTACAGGCTTGGCACCAGTATCTGCTTGGCTTCTGGTGGGGGCCTCAGGAAGTTCACAACCATGATAGAAGGCAAAAAGGGGGCATGTGTATCACACGACGAGAGTAAGAGGAGGAGGGAAGAGGTGCCAGTCTCTTCTTAAATAAGCAGATTTCACATGAACTCAGAGTGAGAAGTCACTCATAACCAAGAGGACAGCACCAAGCCATTCATGAGGGATCTGGCCTCATGACCCAAACACCACCTGCTAGGCCCCACCTCCAGCATCGGAGATCACATTTCAACATGAGATTTGGAAGAGACACACATCCAAACTATATCACTAATCCTCAGAGAAATGCAAATCAAAACCACAATGAGATACAATCTCACACCAGTTAGACTGGCTTTTGTTAAAAAAATGAAAAAATAAAAAACAGATGTTGGATAGGATGTGGAGAAAAGGGAACAGTTAAACACGGTTGGTGGAAATGTAAATTAGTTCAGCCACTTTGGAGAGCAGTTTGGAGATTCTCAAAGAGCTGAGAGTTAAATACCATTGACTCAGCAATCCCACTACTGGGTGTATACCCAAAGGAAAACAATTTGTTCTACCAAAAAGGACATATGCACCCGTATGTTCATTGCAGTGTTATTCAAAATAGCAAAACCATGGAATCACTCAGGTGCCCATCAATGGTGGACTGTATAAAGACAATGTGCTATAAATACACTGTGGAATACTATGTAGCCATTAAAAAGAAAAAACTACGTTCTTTGCAGCAACATGGATGCAGCTGGAAACCATTATCCCAAGAAAACAAATGCAGAAACAGAAAACAAAATACTGGATGTTCTCACTTATATGTGGGAGCTAAACATTGAGTACACATGGTCATAAAAATGGAAACAATAGACATGGGAGTGCAAGAGAGGAGGGGGAAGAAGAGAAGTAAGGGTTGAAAAAAACTACTGGGTACTACCTGAGTGATGGATTCATTCATACTCCAAACCTCGGCATCATGCAATATACCTTTGTAACCTGCACATGTATCCTCTGATTTTAAAATAAAAGTTGAAAAAAGCAACAAAAAATAGAGCAAGCCGCAATGCATAAGCACTTTTTAAGTCTCTGTTTGCATTGCCTTTTCTGCTGTCCTGTCAGTTAATGAAGCTATATGGGCAAGTTCAGAGTCAGTGGGGTAGGGAGCTATGCGGGGGCTATGCAAGGGTGTGATTAAGGGGAGGGAAACTATGGTGGCCAGTTTTGCAAACAGTCTACCACAGACATTAAAATAGAAGAGAGTGGAAGGGTTTATTTGAAATCTATC
The DNA here is from genome assembly GCF_000001405.40 of Homo sapiens. Lineage (NCBI taxonomy): Eukaryota > Metazoa > Chordata > Mammalia > Primates > Hominidae > Homo > Homo sapiens. Next base: position 34,239,517 of record NC_000022.11, read on the forward strand.
CAAAAGATATTGTCACTTTCAGAAATTCATCTCAGTTCCTAAATGGTGGCAAAAAACTTGAAGACAACGAGAGCTTTGAAATCTTGTTCCATTGGCTGAGCAGATGGTACTTTTGGGAGACAAGATAAAGTGATAGAACGTTGAGATTTAGCCTTAAATTTCTCACTGACTTTTGGATCCAAAACATTTGAGTCAATGCTCCATTCGGGACACCCTAAGGAATGACTAGCCTGGAGAGTTACTTTCTCTTATGCCAATACACACAAGTCAATTTTACTTTATGCAGAATATTTGAGAGTTACAATGACTTGACTGAAGTATCTAATCTGTCCACCTGGGAAGCACTTCCAGCAGGGACAGTGGAGAAAGAGGACATGTGTTTGCAGTGAAGGCAGTAAAGCAACCTCTTGGTAGCCAGAGCTAGATTTGGGAATACACTTGTTTATTGGTACAATGTTAGAATTGGTGGTATAATGTAAATGAAATTGAAACTGGCACTCTACTTCAAATATAATGGAAACTTAATAGATTTTGGAGGTGATGAAGGTACTACTCTGGATCTCACACATAATTACAAGCATGATTCCTTTAGGTAAATATATTTTCTGTTCCAAATAAATAAATGGCTTGAAAAATAACTTTTAGGTGGAATAGTGTCCTAAATTGGTAGAAGTCTGTCCTTAAGTGTTCCTATCTTAAGGAATGGGATATTCTTCCTCTCCTAAACAATGGAATGCTAATTATTTCTCTTCCAAATTGTTTCATGCCCCATTGTTCCCCTCTCAAGCTATGGAACATTCAGTCAGTCCTCTTCCAAACAATGAAGTACACTACTCAATTGTTCCTCTCCAAAGCAATAAACCATTCAATTATTCAGGTGAATATCATTGAAAAATTTCCATTTCTTGCAGTATAAATTAAAGCTTTACCAGGACAATGTTTTGGGCTCAGCTTGCTGAGATGGATTCAGGCAGACTCATTCTTATTATCATGATTCTTTGGGATAATTGTGACACTTTTGGAATAAGACGTTTTATTGTTGTCTGACCCCCGCCACCTCAGATGATTTACTGGATCTTTACATTCTCTTATCATGCAAACTTGACAAGAATAGTCTGTCATTTAACATATGAGTTTGTGGATACCATTAGGTATATGGCATAGCCAAGGTAAAACCAAACAAAATACTTTTTGTATCTAATATGTATTAATTGAATCCCTGCTGCAGACCTGAGTGAGTACCATCCCCGCTCTCAGGAAACTCATAGTTTTAGTTGTGTAGGAAGACACATCAAGAGAACTGATTGGGTAGTTGCTAACTGCCTTTGCAACTCAGGATGGGGAGCTCCTCTCAACCTGGAGAATTGGGGAAGGCTGCACAAAGATAGGAAATCCAGTTGGGCCTTGAAAAATAGAAAGTATTTTGACAAAGGTGGAATAGGGAGAATAACTCTAGGCAGTGATAAAAGCACGAGCTGTGAAAGGTTCACAGCATCCATGGCAGGAAAGTCAGGCAAGAAAGTCTCCTTGAAGTTCTAGTCTCCTTGTCTCTGGTGCTTCTCAGAATTCCTCTGAGTACAGGACGTGAAATGAATGTTCTGAGAACTGCCTTTATTAGAGGGACCCCTGATCTGTTTTATTAGAGGGACCCCTGATCTGGGCACATGGGTGAAGTTTGAGGGAATATAAACAGTACATGGAGAGGGCATGTGGTTGGTGTCTTTTTCTGGAAAAAGAAAGACATTCTAGTTATTGAGGACATATAAACAGGATATTGGGCCAGAAAAGCTCCCTTAAACTCCTAAAAAGTATGATTAGGGGTGGTGCTTATAAAAATAACACACATTCTTGCTCAAAGGAGAAAAAATCAGAAATATATCAAGACAAACATCACTTATAATCTCATCACCCAAAACTAACCAGGATAACATTTTGTTTCACTTGATTTTGCATCCTTTCTTTCCTATGTGTAGATATACATAGATCTTTACAATATTTGAAGCAGGCCAGGTGCAGTGGCTCACACCTGTAATCCCAGCACTTTGGGAGGCCGAGGTGGGTGGATCACTTGAGGTCAGGAGTTCAAGGCCAGCCTGCCCAACATGGTGAAACCCCATCTCTGCTAAAAATACAAAAATTATCCAGGTGTGGTGACTCATGCCTGTAATCCCAGCTACTTGGGAGTCTGAGGCAGGAGAATCGCTTGAACATGGGAGGTGGAGGTTACAGTGAGCCGAGATAGTACCATTGTACTCCAGCCTGGGCAACAAGAGTGAAACTCCATCTCACAAAAAAATAAAAAATATATATATTCGAAGCAAAATTAGATTTTTACCGACACTGCATGATCTGAAAATGTATTCTGCATTTCTGTTTAACCTTCTCTTGTATTTTTACATGTTAATATTTGAAAGTATATTGCATCTTATTTGTCATGTATCACTCACATGCTTACTGTGTGCCAGCTACTATTTTAATGGCTTGCATATATTAACTCATTTATTTCTTACAGAGACTCTATGAGGCAGTTATGTTTTCCATTTTTTATTGTGGTAAAATATGCATAACCTAAAATTTACCATTTAACTATTTTTTGAGTGTACAATACGGTGGCATTAAGTACAGTTACAGTGTTGTGCAACAGTCACCACCGTACATCTCCAGAAGTTCTTCATCTTGAACTGCAACTCTGTACCCATTAAACAAGTCCCCATTTCCTGTCCCCCCAGCCCCTGGAAACTGCCAATCTACTCTCTGCCTCTATGAATTTGGCTCTTGCTGCCTCATGAAATGGAATTATACAATGTTTGTGACTGGCTTATTTTACTTAGCATAATGTCCTCAGGGCTCATCCATGTTGTAACATGTGGAATTTCTTCCCTTTTCAAGGCTGAATAATAATGCATTGTATAAATAAACCATATTTTGTTTATCCTTGGACACTTGGGTTACTTCAACCTTTTGGCTATTGTGAATAATGCTGCTATGAAGATGGGTGTACAAATATCTGTTTGAGTTCTTGCTTTCAGAAATGTGCCGAACCATATGGTAATTTTATGTTAATATTTTTAGGAATCACCATATTGTGAGGTAGGTTGTGTTGTTATTTCCATTTTACATATAAGGAAACTGAGGCAGAGAGCGATTAAGTGATTTCCTTAATCTCTTAAAGATTAAGAGTTGTGCAGCCCACAATTGGCAGAACTGGGATTTGAACTCATCACTTTTACCAAATATCAGGGCTCTTGGAATCTGTAACATATTGAAAATATTAAAGTATGTGTAGTCCCTTTTCTACTGTGTTGAACATTTAAGTTTCAGTTGGCTTTTCTACATGAACAACAGCACTGCTTCAAACAGTGTTGTATATGTATGTGCATTTTTAATTATTTCATTAGGAGAAATCTTTAAAAATAGAATCCTAGAGCTTAATCCTGATGCTATAATTGGATGATATTTTGGAGGGTCTGGAGATGGGACAAGCATATTTTGTCTGTGAGTAGAATGTAAATTTTGCAGAGGGTGGACTGTGGTAGATTACAAAGGTGGCCACAGATTCTTCTTCAAAAGACTTTCACGCTGGGGTTTGCCTTTTCTTGCTTCTCTTGAAACCTGCCACTGTTGGAATAAGCCTGGGCTAGCCTGCCATGTGAAGAAGCCTGAGGCAGCCTGCTGGATGGTGACAGGCATGTGGCACTCCTATTGTTCCTAGCCAGCAAACTCCAGACATGTGAATGAGGGCAGCTGACACTAGCTACTGTCCAGCCAAGCTACCCGTGCTCAACAACCTTAGAACAGAACACAAACACACAAGCAAGCCTACCTGAGAGGCACTGAGTCCAGCCAGTCCAGAAGATCTACCCATTTTGAAATGGGAGTGAAAACTCCCTAATACAACTCTAAATATCTGTGATCTATTAACCACCTTATCAGAAAGGTAACATAAAGCCATTGGAATCAAGTATCCATTTTCTAATATGAAAATTTTAAGACTTGTTACATGTTCCATTCATACGATATTTTTAATTTTTTTTTATTTTTGAGAAGGAGTCTCGCTCTGTCACTCAGATTGGAGTACAGTGGCACAATCTTGGCTCACTGCAACCTCCACCTTCCAGGTTCAAGCAATTCTCCCATCTGAGCCTCCTGAGTAGCTGGGATTACAGGTGTGTGCCACCACAGCTGGCTAATTTTTGTATTTTTAGTAGAAACGGGTTTCCACTTTGTTGGCCAGTCTGGTCTCGAACTCCTGACCTCAGGTGATCCTCCTGCCTTGGCCTCCCAACATGCTGGGATTACAGGCATGAGCCACTGTGCCCAGCCATTCATACTATATTTTTATCATGCCTTTCCTCCATAAAAATAAAAGTTTGCTCCTTTATTTACTCTGTGGAAATCTCTGTTCTCTAAGTAGACTGTGAACTCCTTTAAGAGGAAATGTCCTGTAGTGGTTAATAACTCAGACGTTGGAGACTATCTGGGTTCAACTATCATTGCTACAACCACAAGTTCTGTGACTCTGAGAAAGGGGCACGAGTATTTTAAAGACCTTGATATGGACAATACTGTGATGTTATCCTCCAAGATAGTTTTACTAATTAATCTTCTGCCAGCTGTAAATGGGAACACTTATTTTTCTGCACTCTCATTAACAATGAATATTTGATATTTAAGTATATGATTGACAGTTTGCTGTATTAGCATAATTTTAATTTTTGTCTTTTCAAATTATCTTTACTAATTGTTAATGAAGCAAAACATTTTCTTTGCAGTTGTTGGGCAAATGTAATGATCCTGAGTGTTGATGATCTTATTTTCCTTTAATTTTCTAAACGGCTTTTGAACTTTTGGCAGGGATCTGTGTGTAGTGACACCTTTGTCAGTAGATGACAATGTAAAAATAAAAGGCAAAGTCTGGCGATAAGTCTCTTTAGGATGAACTCATATGAACTTCATGATGAAGTTCTGTCACTAGTTGGGAAATTGTACTTAGTAGACTGATGTGTTAAATGAGTCAGTTGCGGTTTGGCATTTTCTGGACCAGTGCAACTCAAGGTGTGGTCTATGGATCAGGACCAGCTGAGAGCTTGTTAGAAATGCAAATTCAACTGAGAAAGAATATCTAAGTGGGTGGAGTCCAGGACTGGGTCTGGGTTTCAGCAAACTTTTGCTGCATGGTATTATCAAATACTACTTAGCAAAAAAAAGAACAAACTCCTGGCATATGCTGTGTCATGAATGAACTTCAAAAACATTACTAAGTGAAATGAAAACATCACTAAGTGAAAGAAGCCAGGCATGAGACCACATGTTATATGATTCCATTTGTATGCAATGTCCAGAAAAGGCAAATTTATAAAGACAGAACATAGATTAGTGGTTTCCCGGGGCTAGAGGCGGGAATGAGAATTCACTGTAAATGGGCAGGAGGGATCTTACTGGGGGGATGAAAATATTCTGAAACTGATTTATAGGGCGAGTGCAAAGGCTTGGGCCTGTAATCCCAGCCCTTTGAGAGGCTGAGGTGGGAGGAGCATTTGAGCCCAGGAGTTCGAGACCAACCTGGGCAACATAGTGAGAGGCTGTTGCTACAAAATATAAAAATAAAATGATTTATGGTGCCACTCAGTACATTTACTAAAAGTCATTGAATTTTAAGTACACACTTGAAATTGGTGAATTCTGTGATATGTATACTCTATCTCATTAAAAAAAAATGAGCTCTCCAAGTGATTCTGATTCTTATGCTCATTGACCTTGACACAGCACTTCCCAAACCTGACTGAAGATAAGCACCACCTGGAGTGCTTGGTTAAAAAAACAATCCATGAATCCTGGACCCCAGTCGAAAACTACCCTATTGTAATGTCCATTGGATGGCCATAGCAATTCTTGTTATTCGTAGGGTATTATTTGGAAATCAGTGAAGAAAACTTAAAGCAGTTGTTTTCTCCTTTGCCATACAGTGTGACCCTAGGAAGCTTTAAATGTTTAACAATAAGATATTCTATATTACAAAATAGCTAGAAGAGAGGCTTTTGAATGTTCTCACCACAAAGAAATAATAAATGCACTGGGCGATGGATACACCAACTACCTTGACTAGATCATTATCCAAAATAGATAAGTCTCAAAACATCAAATTGTACTGCAATAATATGTACAATTATATCAATGAAACAATTAATTTTAAAATTTAAAAAGTACAGATGTCCACAGAAGTTTTCATTTAATTGTTTGGGGCATGGGGAGTTTTCAACAGTGCCCAGAAAATTCTAACATGCAGCCAAGGTAAGGACTGTGGCCAATGGTCATTACTGCCTAATGTTTTCAGCTCTTGTGTCTGCCAACCCTCAGGGCATGCAGCAAATCCTTATGGCCTAGAACGGAATTTGTTAGAATTTCAGCCATTACATCCATGTAAGGAAAAGAAGTCAAAAACTGGATGTAATCTTTTATTTTCAAGGCAAGTTCCTAGAAATCTCTCTACTCTATATTCTCCATCACATCTTTGGGCAGAACTTAGTCACATGGCCATTTCTTTCTGCAAGGGAGGCTAGGAAATGTAATCATTTAGTTGGGTAGCTTCAAGCCCAGCTAAAAATTTAGTGTTCTGTTACTAAGGGAGAAGACAAGGATGGATATTTAAAGACAAGTAGAAGACTTGGTGACACTGATACATTACCAGTTATTTATTTTTATCTTTTCAGATGAGAAAACCAAGGTTAGGGGTTGCTAGATAAAACAGAAGCTGCCCAGTTAAATTTAAATTGCAGAGGAACAATTTTTTTTAGTATAATTACATTCCAGATATTATATGGAACATACTTATGCTAAAAATTCATTGTTTATCTGAAATTCAAATTTAACTCATCTTCCTGTATTTGTATTTTGCTAACTCTGGCAACCCTTAAAGTTAGGTTGAGAGAATCACTTTCTCAAGGATACTTTTTAATTGCAAAGACTGACTTGAACCCGGGTCTGCTTGACTCTGAAAATCACATTCTTAGCTACTATGCTATAAGTAATATTTATCTACCCTTTATAGTCTTCAATTTACGTTCAGCTTCCTTATGTCTTTGTTTTGAGGTCCTCCTCTCTGAGATAGAGCCACCTTCTATAAATGGGAAACCAAGGCCCAGAGGACCTGGGATGATTCCAGCTCTTTGACTTATTAGCCACGTGACCCTCAACAAACAATTTAACTTCTTCGTGCTGAAATTTCCTCATCTGCAAAAATGGGTAAAATGGTAATGATGATAGTTCTTACTTTATAGAGTTGTGAGGATTAAATGAGCGTGCATATAAAGCTTTTAGTATAAGGCTTGGCAGAGAGTAAACCTTCAATAAATGTTAGGAGAGTGGATTTTGTTTTTCCTTGTCCTGCTGTGGCAGATGTCTGCTTTAATCCAGATCTTCTGACTGCAAGACCACTGTGGTGTTGCAATAGTTACGTAGGTACACATCTGATTATAGATACTCCTAAGAAGAGCAAGAATTCAGTGACTGTGTAAATTGTTGCAGCAAGTGATGTTTAATTCTTCTTCCAAGCTTAGATTCCTAGGACAATCTGTTACATCATTTGGCGGATGTGTCTTTGTTTCTTTGTCCTGGTGTGTGCAGTCACTCTTCCTTTCTCCTTGATCAGTCTTCCCAGAGGTTTGTTGAATTTATTAAAGACAGAGCATAGTCTTTTAAAATAGTTAGCTTTTGATTTTATTACTCATGTTTATCATTTCTTTTACCTATTTCTTTTTTTTTTTTTTTTCTTTTTGAGGCAGAGTCTTACTCTGTTGCCCAGGCTGGAGTGCAGTGACAAAATCTTGGCTCACTGCAACCTCCACCTCGCGGATTCAAGCAATTCTCCTGCCTCAGCCTCCTGAGTAGCTGGGATTACAGGCACCCACCACCACACCTGGTTAATCTTTGTGTTTTTAGTAGAGATGGGGTTTCACCATGTTGATCAGGCAGGTCTCAAACACCTGACCTCATGGTCCACCCTCCTCGGCCTCCCAAAGTGCTAGGATTACAGGCATGAGCCACCGCGCCCGGCCCTTTTTCCTATTTCTTTAATCTCTGATGTTTTATCTGTTGTTTGATCCTTTCTAAGATTTTTACTGTAAATTCTTGTGCTTAAACTTCAGTTTACTAATTTTTTAATATTTCTCCTTTTAAGTCAAAATACTTTTAAAAATTTGTACACACATGATTTTACACATGGAGTGGCACGATCTCAGCTCCTTGCAACCTCTGCCTCCAGGATTCAAACGATTCTCCTGCCTCAGCCTCCCTAGTAGCTGGGATCACAGGCCTGCCACCATGCCTGGCTAATTTTTGTACTTTTAGTAGAGACAGGGTGTCACTTTGTTGGCCAGTATGGTCTCAAACTCATGACCTAAAGTGATCCGCCTGCATCAGCTTCCCAAAGTGCTGAGATTACAGATGTGAGCCGCCGTGCCCAGCCCTATACCTCCTTTGTCTTAGGCTTGTCTTTTTTCCCCCAAACACGTAATCTCTTTTTCTCTACTTGCTGTCACTATATTCTTATATTAGTAATGTAGGTTGAATTTTTCCAAATTTCTCTTAGTATCCATATGATCATATATAGACATTTATGTACCTGTACATATTAAAAGTTTGTTGCTGTTTGACTTAGACAAATGGAGTCAAAATATACAACCTTTCAGCTATCTTGCTTTTCTCACTCAGTGATGCCTTTTTGGAAATCCTTCCAAATCCTCAGATAGCTCTAATTTATTTTCTATAATAGGCTACATAATATTCCATGGTGCAAATGCTTCACAGTTTACTCAGCCATTTCTTTATTGATGGATATTAACGTTATTTCCAGTTCATTGCCACTTAAAATGATACTGAAATAAACACCCTAGTACTCACGTCCTTATGTACTCGTGCTTTTATTTCTATAGAGGGAAGTTTAAACTGCCCTTTCAAAGCCATTTTCCTATTATATTATCTTTTCTGTTATAGCTTTTGGTTAGCTATGGTTAGCAAGGTCACAAGGTCTCCCAGACTATATGTGTAATTTCCTGGACATTTGTAAGATTTTTATTCACTAATTTTTATATACCTAAATCTTTCATATATATGTAGTTACTTCCTAGAAGCTATAAAAAAATACAGGCACATTTGTATGTATAAAATATAACAACTGTCTATGACAAAAAATCATAAACATAATCAGTGGACCAAATTAATAAATAATAGATGTGAAAAATGTAATACTTCTAATAGATCAAGAAATAATACCTATATGATACGGTTTGGCTCTGTGTTCCCACCCAAATCTCATCTGTGGCTCCCATAATTCCCATGTGTTGTGGGAGGGACCTGGTGGGAGATGATTGAATTTTGGGGGATGGATCTTTCCTGTGCTGTTCTCATGATAGTGAGTGGGTCTCATGAGGTATGATGGTTTTAAAAATGAGAGTTGCCCCACACAAGTCTTTTTTGTTTGCCGCCATCCATGTAAGATGTGACTTGCTCCTCCTTGCCTTCTGCCATGATTCTGAGGCCTCTGCAGCCATGTGGAACTGTAAGTCCAGTTAAACCTTTTTCTTTTGTGAGTTGCCCAGTCTCAGGTATGTCTTTATCAGCATCGTGAAAACAGACTAATAATACACTATAACATTAAAATATACTTATGATTTGACAAGGAAAAGATAATAGGAAAATAGATTTGAAAGGGCAGTTCAAACTTCTCTCTTTTTTACTGAAGTCTAACTTGGATACAGTGAAGAGGAGGTCAATGAGTGTTTACATATGTGTACAACTGTGTAGCTGACCAATGTGTAGAATACCACCAGCACCTCAAAAGACTCCCTCCTATCCTTTTCTAGTCAATATCACAACCCCAGAGGTAATTTCTGTTCTGACTTCTATCACCATAGGTTAATTTGTCTATTTTTGAACTTCTATCATATAGTATGTACTTGTATCAATCAGGGTCCAAACAGAAGATGAAAACTACTGGCTTCTGTCATTCAACCTAATATCTGTGAGATTCATTTGTGTTGTATGTTTTGGTGGTTCATTCTTTTTTATTTCTGTGTTGTCTTCCATATGAAATATACACATTTCTTCTCTTTTTCTGTTGGACATTGGAGTCATTTCTAGGATTTGGCTGTTATGAATAAATTACCATGAGAATCCCACCTTTTGTTGGACATGTGCATTCATTTCTTGTATATGCTGATATATATATTTGTCCCTGCCCAAATCTGATGTTGCATTGTAATCCCCAGTATTGGAGGTGGGGCTTTGTAGGAGGCAACTGGATCATGGGGGTGTATTTCTCATGAATGGTTTAGCACCATCCTCTTGGTGCTATCCTCACAATAATGAGTTCTTACAAAATCTGGCTGTTTATAAGTGTGTGGCACCTCCCTCTCTCTTGCTCCTGCTTTTGCCATGTGAAGTTCCTGTTCCCACTTTCCCTTTTGCCATGAGTAAGAGCTCCCTGAGGCCTCCCTAAAAGCTGAGCAGTTGCCAGCACCATGCTTTCTGTACAGCCTGCAGAACGTGAGCCAATTAATCCTCTGTTCTTTATAAATTACCCAGTCTCAGGTATTTCTTTATAGAGGTGCAAGAACAGCCTAACACATACACACACAGAAGTGGAGTTGCTTGGACCCTTATGACCCAGTAGCTCCACATCCTTGCCAAAATTTGGCATTGTCTTATTAGTTTTAACTATTCTGGTGATTATGTGGTAGTATTATTTTGTGATTTTAATTTGCATTTCCCAATGTTGAGCAACTTTACATGTGCTGATTGGCCATTTGCAGATATATTGGATATCCTCTTGTGTAAAGTGCTCTACTTTTTTAAAATTGGGTTGTTGAAGTTTAAAAAAAAATGTTTTCTGGATGTGAGTTCCTGTCAAATACGTGCATGGAGAATTTCATCTAGTGTGAGACTTCCCTATTCACTTTCTTATCATTCCTCTTGATATACAGTAGTTCTTAATTTTAATGAAATGCAAATTATCTTTCTTATTTATAGTGTTTTGTGTCCTACTTAAGAATTTTTTTTATTCCCCAAGTTTATAAAGATATCCTACGTTCTCTTCCAGAAACTTTATATTTTTCTGTTTTATATTTAGGTATGTGTTCGTTCCACCTCAAGTTAATCTTTGATGTGAGACAGAAGCCAAGATACCATTATTTTTTCATATGAGTAAATCACATGCTTCAAAATCATATACTGAAAACACCACTCAATAATGTGTATTTCAAAATCACTGAAAGAGTAGATTCTGAATATTTACACCATAAAGAAATGTTAAATATGTGAGGTGATGTATAGGTTAATTAGCCTAATTTAATCATTCTACAGTGTATACATACATCCTACCATCACATTGTACTTTATATATACAATTATTGTTTGTCAGTTAAAAACAAAATGTAAAAAAATTAAAGATCACATTTAAAAAATACCATTCTCCCCCCAGAGTTGCCCAATCAATCAAATAACAGTGTATATGAGTCTCTATTTCTGAATCACTGTTGTCTTCCGTTGTTCTATTTCTCTATTGAACCAATATCACACCCTCATGTTTACTGTAACTTCATAGGTATTATAGGAATATGATAGTCAAAATGCTTCAATTTTGTTCAAGATGTTTTTAACTACTTGAGGTTCTTTCTACTTTTATATAAATTTTAGAATTACCTTGTCAATTTACACACACTCACTCTGCTTGCCTATTGTTAGTGTAAAGGAATGCTTGTGATTTTTACACATTGATTTTGTATCCTGAGACTTTATTGAAGTTGCTTATTAGTTCAAGAAGTTTTGGGGCTGAGATGATGGGGTGTTCTAAATATAAAATCATGTCATCTGCAAACAGACAACTTGACTTCCCCTCTTCCTGTTTGAACACTTTTTATTTCTCTTGGTTGATTGCCCTGGCCATAACTTCCAATACTATGTTGAATAGGAGTGGTGAGAGAGGGCATCCTTGTCTTGTACCGGTTTTCGTGAGAGAGGGCATCCTTGTCTTGTACCAGTTTTCAAAGGGAATGCTTCCAGCTTTTGCCCATTGAATATGATACTGGCTGTGGGTTTGTCATAAATAGCTCTTATTTTGAAATATGGTCCATCAATACCTAGTCTATTGAGAGTTTTTAACATGAAGGGATGTTGAATTTTATCAAAGACCTTTTCTGCATCGATTGAGATAATCATGTGTTTTTTGTCTTTGGTTCTGTTTGCGTGATGTATTACATTTATGGATTTGTGTATGTTGAACCAACCTTGCATCCCAGGGATGAAGCCGACTTAATTGTGGTGGATAAACTTTTTGAAGTGCTGCTGGATTCAGTTTGCCAGTATTTTATTGAGGATTTTCACATCAATGTTCATCAGTGATATTGGCCTGAAGGTTTTTGTTGTTGTTGTTGTGCCTCTTCCCAGTGTTGGTATCAGGATGATACTGGCTTCATAAAATAAGTTAGGAAGGAGTCCCTCCTTTTCAGTTGTTTGGAATAGCTTCAGAAGGAATGGCACAAGCTCCTCTTTGTATTTCTGGTAGAATTCAGCTGTGAATCCATCTGGTCCTGGGCTTTTTTTTGGTTGGTAGGCTATTAATTACTGCCTCAATTTCAGAGCTTGTTATTGGTCTATTCGCAGATTCAGCTTCTTCCTGGTTTAGTCCTGGGAGGGCGTAGGCATCCAGGAATTTATCCATTTCTTCTAGATTTTCTACTTTATTTGTGTAGAAGTATTTGTACTATTCTCTGATGGTAGTTTGTATTTTTGTGGGGTCAGTGGTGATATCCATCCCTTATCATTTTTTATTGTGTCTATTTGATTCTTCGCTCTCTTCTTTGTTTAGCTAGCAGTCTATCCATTTTGTTAATTTTTTCAAAAAACCAGCTCCTGGCTTCACTGATTTTTTTTTTTTTTTGGAGGGTTTTTCGTGTCTCTCTTTCCTTCAGTTCTTCTCTGACTTTAGTCATGTCTTGTCTTCTGCTAGCTTTTGGATTCATTTGCTCTTGTGTCTCTAGCTCTTTTAATTGTGATGTTAGGGTGTCAGTTTGAGATCTTTCTAGCTTTCTGATGTGGGCATTTAGTGCTATAAATTTCCCTCAGCATTGCTTTAGCTGCATCCCAAAGATTCTAGTGCATTGTCTCTTTGTTCTCATCGGTTTCAAAGAACTCCTTGATTTCTGTCTTAATTTCATTATTTACCCAGGAGTCATTCAGGAGCAGGTTGTTCAATTTCCATGAAATTGTATGGCTTTGAGTGAGTTTCTTAATCCTTAGTTCCCATGTGATTGCACTGTGGTCTGAGATACTGTTTATGGTTTCAGTTCTATTGCATTTGCTGAGTAGTGCTTCCAATTATGTGGTCGATTTTAGAATAAGTGCCATGTGGTACTGAGAAGAATTTATATTCTGTTGATTTGGGGTGGAGAGTTCTGTAGATGTCTCCTAGGTCCACTTGATCCAGAGCTGAGTTCAAGTCCTGAATATCCTTGTTAATTTTCTGTCTTGTTGAGCTGTCTAATACTGACAGTTGGAGCCTAAGTCTCTTTATAGTTGTCTAAGAACTTGTTTTATGAATCTGGGTGCTCCTGTATTGGGTACGTACATATTCAGGATAGTTAGTGCTTCTTGTTGAATTGTTCCCTTTACCATTATGTAATGCCCTTCTTTGTCTTTTATGATCTTTGTTGGTTTAAAGTCTGTTCTGTCAGAGGCTAGGATTTTGCAACCCCTGCCTTTTTTTTTTTTTTTTTTTGCTTTCCATTTGCTTTGTAAATTTCCCTCCCTCCCTTTATTTTGAGCCTGTATGTGTCTTTGCACATAAATAACATGGGTCTCCTGAATATAGCACACCAGTGGGTCCTGACTCCTTATCCAATTTGCCAGTGTATATCTTTTAATTGAGGGATTTAGCCCATTTACATTTAAGGTTAGTATCATTACCTGTGGATCTGATCCTGTCATCATGATGCTATTTGGGTTTTTTGCACACTAGTTGATGCACTTTCTTTGTAGTGTCATTGATCGTTATATTTTGGTGTGTTTTTGCAGTGACTGGTACCAGTTTTTCCTTTCCATATGTATTTTTTCAGGAGCTCTTGCTCTTGCAGGGCAGGCCTGGTAACAAAGTCCCTCAGCATTTGCTTGTCTGGAAAGGATTTTATTTCTCCTTCGTTTATGAAGCTTAGCTGGATATGAAATTCTGAGTTAAAAATTATTTTCTTTAAGAATATTAAATTTCAGCCCACAGTCTTTTCTGGCTTGTAGAGTTTCTGTTGAGAGATCCGCTGTTAGTCTGATTGGATTCCCTTTGTAGGTGACCTTGCCTTTCTCTCTGGCTGCCCTTAGCATATTTTCCTTCATTTTGACCTTGGAGAATCTGATTTTGTGTCTTGGGGTTGATCTTCTCATGCAGTGTCTTAATCGTGTCCTCCGTATTTCCTGAATTTGCATGTTGGCCTGTCTTGCTATGTTGGGGAAATTCTCCTGGATAGTATCCTGAAGTGTTTTCCAGCTTTTTTCTATTCTCCCCATCTCCTTTTGGTACTCCAGTGAATCGTAGGCTTGGTCTTTGTATGAAGTCCCATATTTCTTAAAGGCTTTGTTCATTCCTTTTCGTTGTTTTTTCTCCATTGTCATCTGCATGTCTTATTTCAGTAAGTGGACTTCAGACTCTGATATCCTTTCTTCCACTCGGTCGATTTGGCTGTTGATACTTGTGTATGCTTCACGAAGTTCTCATGCTGTGTTTTTCAGCTCCATCAGGTCGTTTATATTCCTCTCTAAACTGGTTATTCTAGTTAGCAAGTCCTTTAACTTTTTATCAAAGTTCTTAGCTTCTTTGCATTGGGTTAGAACATGCTCCTTTAGCTCATCGTAGTTTTTTATTACCCATCTTCTGAAGCCTACTTTTATCAATTTGTCTATCTGATCCTCCGTCCAGTTCTGTGCCCTTGATGGAGAGATATTGTGATCATTTGCAGGAGAAGAGACACTCTGACCTTTTGGGTTTTCAGCATTTTTTTCATTGATTCTTTCTCATCTTTGTGAGTTTGTCTTTGAGGCTGCTGATCCTTGGATGGAGTGTTTGTGGGGGCCTTTTTGTTGTTGTTGTTGATGCTGTTCTTGTCACTTTCTGCTTGTTTTTCTTTCAGTAGTCAGGTCTCTCTTCTTCAGGGCTGCCGCAGTTTGCTGGGGCTTCACTTCAGGACTTATTCATCTGATTTGTTCCTGTGCCTGGAGATGTCACTCAAGGAGGCTGGAGAGCAGCAAAGATGGGTGCCTGCTTCTTCTGGGATCTCTGACCTCGAGGGGCACCAACCTGATGCTAGTAGGATTGTTCCTGTATTGGGTGTCTGACAACCCCTGTTGGAGGGTCTCACCCAGTTGGGTGGCATGGGGAGCAGGACCCATTTAATGAAGCACTTTGTCCCTTGGTGGAGAGGGTATGTTTCGCTGGGGAGAAACCCACTCATCTGGGCTGGATTCCTCAGAACTACTGGGAAGAGAGGCTAAGTCTGCTAGTCTGCAGAGACTGTGGGTACGCCTCCACCTAGGGGATCAGGCCTAAGGAGATCAGAATTCTGTCCCTGAGCCTCTGACTGGAGTTATTGGAGATCCTGCAGGGAAACCCTGCTCACTGAGGAAATATGGGTCAGGGTTAGTTAGACCTGAAGAGGCACTGTGGTGGCAGACTGCCACAGCTGGTGTGTTGGGCCAAGGGGACAAGTCTTGGGACCAAGCCATCCAGTCTCCCTGGCTCCAGCAGGGGAAAAGTGCAGCCTGCAGCTGTAGAAATGGGTGCTGCTCTTCCCTCACCCAGGGAGCTTAGTGTGTTAGGCTGTTGTGAGTCCCAGTGCTAGTTGCTATTCCTCCCACAAGGAACTCAAATGGCTTAAACAGCAGGCCAGTGCTGGATGCTGGATGCCCCCCGCCCCACCCCTTCTGAGAATTTGGTAGGCTTACGCAGATTCCAGCTGAGAGGCTGTAAGTATCTGCACTTTCCAGGATTGGGATGCAAGGCCCTGGTGGCAGGGGTTCGCAAGTGGGATCTTCCTATCTGTGGGTTTCACAGTTCTGTGGAAAAAGCAGTTTCCCCAGCTGGGTAGTGTGCTCACTCACTGCCTCCCTTGGCTGGGGATAGGGGGTTCCCCTTCCCTGTGTGGCTCTCAGGTGGGCTGTTGCACCACACTGCTCTTCCTTCTCTCCATGGGTCATGCCAGCCTTCTAGTCAATTTTGATAAGAGAACCTGGATACCTTGGTTACCAGTGAAGGATTCACACACTTATTATGGTTTTCTTCGATAGGAGTCTCCAAGACCACTGCTGCTTCTAGTTGGCACTCTTGGCCCTGCCCCAACTTCTATTATTATTTCACAACAGATTGGCTTCAATTATTTATAATGTTTCTTGTACTGTTTATTTGTTTAATGCATTCCTGGAATAAAGAAAATCAGCTACTGAATTAGACTTGCTAAGATTTTGTTTTGGATTGTTGCTTCTGTATTCATGAAGGATATTGACCTTATTTTTATAATGTTCTTATCAGATTTTAGGATAAGGTTTTGGCAAACTCATAGTAGAAGGTAGTGTTTCCTGTTTTTCTGTTTTCTGGGAGAATTTCAAAAAGATTTGTATTTATTCCCTGAATGTCTAATAAAATCTACTTGAGAAGCCAGTTTGTTACAGGACTATTCATATTTTCTATTTCTTCTAGTATGAGTTTTGATAAATTGTGTTTTCAAAGAATTTGTCTACTTCATGTACTTAAACTTTATTGGCATAAAGATGTTCATAGTGTGCTTTTATCCTTTAAATGTCAGCAACTTCTGTAACAATGTCCTTTTTTCCCCTGATATTTGTAATTTGTATTTACTCTTTGTCTTGTTATATTTTCATCTATTTTATTAATATTTTCAAATATTCAGCTTTTCATTCTATTGAATTCCTCTTGTATGTCTATTTTCCCCTTTAATTTTTTTTTTTGCTTTTATTTTTGTTTCCTTTAACTTTGGGCTTAATTTGGTGTTTTTTTTTTTTTTTCAAGTTTATGAATTGGCAACCTACTTATTAAATTTCAACTTTTCTTCTTTTTCGATAGATGCACATATTTACTTTCCCTCCCAGTCCTGTTTTATCTCATAAATTTAGACATTTAGTATTTGAAATGTTCAGCTAAAATTTTCTAAAATTCATTTTGATTTACACTTTAATATATGGGTTAGAGGTATGCTATTTAATTTTCAATCATCTGGAGATTTTCTAGTTATCTTTCTTTTATTGAGTTCTTATTTAATCTCCCAGTTATTAGAGTATGCACTTTAAATAATTTCCTTCTTTGGACATTTTTTGAGACTTGAATTTTAGCTTATGGTATTGTCAGTTTTGGTACATGTTCCACGTGTACTTGTGGTAGATGTGCATTTTGCATTGTTGGATGTATTCAGTTTGGTTAGATTGGTTAATCATATTGCTCAAATCTATAGCCATATAACTTCCTCTGATTAAATTTTTTTTATCACCAAGAAATGTGTGTTAAGAGTTCCAACACTGTTGTAGTTTTGTCTAGCTCTTTCATCATTTGTCTACTTGAAATCTACATATTTTAAAGCTATATTATTAAGTACTTTCAACTTCAGGGTGGCTATATCTTCTTGTTGAATTGACTCTTTTGTTATATGTCACACTTTTCTCTCAACTTTTCTTAAAATCACCTTTCTCTGATATTAGCCATATATGCTTTTTTTGCTAGTGTTTGTATATTGGAGGATAGATATTTTCCATCATTTCACTTTTAATCTGTCTTTTATGTTTAAAATGCATTTCTTATAATCAGCACATAGGTAGATCTTGTTTTCTCCAGGCTGATAATCTTTTAATTGGAATGTTTATTTTCATTTACTGTAGTTAACTACTATAATTGGTTAAGTTTACCAAATGTGTCATCTCACTATTTGTGTTTTCTGTTCTTTGTTCAATCACTCCCTTTTACCACTTTTTGGGTATTTATTATGTATTTTTATCAGTCCACTTTATCTCCTGTAGATTTTTGCAGTCATATTGTTCAGTATTTCCACTCACATCTTCTCCCCCCGACTTTTTTTTTTTTTTTTTTTTGCTATTACCACACATTTCCCTCAACATACTGTATAGTTTTCACAAGGTATTGCCATTGTTTTTGCCTTGAACAGTCAATACATTTTAAAAAGTGATCCATATATTTACCCCATCCAGTGCTTTTTAATTCCTCTTGCACTTTCATGAATCCATCTGGAATAACTTTATTTTGAAAAGCTTCATCTATTGTAGTGTGTCTGCAGGTCACAAATTCTCTCAATTTCTGTTTGTCCAGGAAGGTCTTTATTTTACCTTCATATTTGAAGAATATTTTTGTGGGAATGGAATTCCAGGCTGGCAATCATTTTCCTTCACAGTTTTAAAGAGGCAATTTCTTTGTTTTCTGGCTTTTGCAATGCTATGCTTTGAATATTTGTCCCTTCCAAAACTCATGTTGAAACTTAATCCCCAATGTGCCAGTGTTGAGAGGTAGGGCGTTTAGAAGGTGATTGGAACACGTGGGCTCTGCCCTCATGAATGGATTGATCTTTTCATGGACAAATGAGTTATATGAGAGGTGAGCTGATGGTTTTATAAGAAGGGAAGGCAGACCTGAGATAGCATGTTAGCATGCTCAGTCCCCAACCGTGTGATACTCTGCACTGCCCTGGGACTCTGTGGAGTCTCTCCTGTAAGAAG
This sequence comes from Homo sapiens, assembly GCF_000001405.40. NCBI lineage: Eukaryota > Metazoa > Chordata > Mammalia > Primates > Hominidae > Homo > Homo sapiens. Next base: position 34,258,288 of record NC_000022.11, read on the forward strand.
GCTCTCACCAGATATAGTCCCTTGACCTTGGACTTATCAGCCTCCATAACTATAAGAAATAAATTCCTGTTCTCTAAAAAGTACCCAGTGTCAGATGTAAGCAATAGAAAATTGATTAAGACACATAGTATCTGTTAATTGAGTTATATTTCTCATTTTTATTTCTCCAAAAGCAATTTCTTTCTTTTTTGTGGTGGGGAGGGTGAATTTTTAAAGATTTTCTCTTCATTAGTGTTTAGTTTGGCTGTGACATTATTTTTGAGTTTTGTTTTTCTTGACTATGTGTATTGATGCCTTTTATCAGATTTGGAAAGCTTTAAGAAATCATTCCTTACAATATTTCTTCTACCCGATGCTCTTGTTTCCTTCTGGTTCTTCAGCTCCATTGATGTTAGGCATTTTGACCACATCTTAAAACTCTTTTATACTCTGCTTTGTGTTTTGCATTATTTTCTAATCTGTGGTTTGATTTAGATATTTCCTATTGATTTGCCTTTGAGTTTACTCATGCTATGTCTGCTGTTATACTCATCCAATTAGTTCTGAATTACAGATTTTGTTTTGTGCAGGTCTTGAGTGTCCGTTTGATTCTGATTATTCTTTGCTGTCTGTTACCACTTTAATAGTGTGAAGTAATTAATATTGATTAACATTGAGCTCTCTCTCTCCTGGGTGATACTTGTTGACTGATAAGCTTTGCCAAACAGCGTTTGTGTAGGGAACTATACAATTCAGTGGACTGCTTTCAAATGTCAGTATTTGTAGGTCTCTTCTCTTGGGTTTGCCAATTCTTTCTCCAGATAGGAATTCTCTAATTTCCTAATACCATTTGGGAGCCAAGTGGGGTACCTTATCATGATCATTATCTATCTCTATGTATGTATGTATGTATCTATCTCTCCATCTATCCATTGATCCATCCATCCAATCTAACTATATTTTAACCTTCCCTCTTTCAACACTTATATTACTCTTTCTCTGTGCCCTGTGTAACAGGGTGGAATCTCTCTAGTTCAATTTTATAGGTAGTACATTCTCCTGTTTAAATGGAGGAGAGGGAGTCACTTGGCTGTGTAAAGTTAATGAGGAATTTGGGGGTCAAAGGCCCTTGAAATAGAGTTTCAAGGAATTCTGGTTTTGTTCCCACCCACCTTCCCAGGTATCAGGGACCTCAATTTTTAAAGCTCTCCTGGGGTTATGCAAATGCATAGTGGTGTTTTCAGTTTGCTTCTATTTGGCTTTCCTTCCTACAGGATCTTGGGTCTCAGCTTTCTTTAGTTTGTTAAGTTGATTCCATTTTGAAAAACTGTGCTGTCATTTTTCCTCTGAAGTTATCTTTTCTCCTGATGTTTTTACCTTCTGAGTGTATACATTTTTATATTTTACTAACACTGGAAAGTGGTCCCAATCCAGACCCCAAGAAAGGGTTCTTGGATCTTTCACAAGAAAGAATTCTAGGTGAATCCACAGAGTAAAGTGAAAGCAAGTTTTTAAAGAAATAAAGAATGGCTACTCCATAAGTAGAGCAGCAGCATGGGCTCTGGACTAAGGATACTTACAGTTATTACTTGATTATATGCTAAACATGGGGTGGGTTATTCATTAGTTTTCTGGGAAAGAGGTGGGCAATTCCTGGAATTAAGGGTTCCTCCCCTTTTTAGACCGACCATATAGGGTAACTTCCTGATGTTGCCATGGCATTTGTAAACTGTCATGGTGCTGTGGTAGTGTCTTTTAGCATGCTAATGCATTATAATGAGCATTGAGGATGACCAGAGATCATTTTGGTCACCATCTTGGTTTTGGCTGGCTTCTTTACCACAGTCTGTTTTATCAGCAAGGTCTTTATGACCTGTGTCTTGTGCTGACCTCCTATCTCATCCTGTGACTTAGAATGCCTAACCTTCCTGGGAATGCAGCCCAGTAGGTCTCAGCCTCATTTTACCCAGCCCCTATTCAAGATGGAGTTGCTCTGGTTCAAATGCCTCTGACATTACTATTGCTGTGGTAAAGTTTAGGAATAGAGATGGACTATATTTAAACTGAAGGCTACTTAAAATTCTTAATTACTAGAGTAATTTGAATTTTAATTACTAGGGTCCTAATTTCTGAAAGTCTTATTTTATACATTTAAACATTTTATTTATTTTTTCTCATAGAGCTCTGTCTTTTCATATGGTTTCTATACTTTTATCTCTCTAGTCATTTTAAACATAACTGTTTAGGGTCTCATACAGATTGTTCTCTTAACTCAAGTTCTTGTAGGTGCTGAAGCTGTTATGTCTTCTGAATAACCTCCATGGTGGATTATTACCTGAAGGGGTTTGTAGTTATTTTTCTGTGAGCTCATCATCTTTGGGGATTTTATTTTTTTTGGATAGTCTGATGACACCTGGGTTATAGAAGTTTCTCTTGAGTATGGGTCTACATTAGTTTCTTCTGTGATCTCCAAAAATATTTACAAGCATAGGGCCAATTGCAGATCAGTTTCTTGAACTGAAGATCCTTATACCATTGGAAAGGCATATATTCAGGTTTCATATTTACGTATAGCTCAGATTTGGGATTTTATGTTCTCATAGGAAATTTTCTTTTTCCACTCTAGCATCAAAGCAGAAATAAGATTCATTTTCTTATTTTCATTGGCATCATTTTTAAGTTCTTCTTTGAGGGTTAGCTCTTCAAGTTGTGTGGTTCTCAGTCCCAGCTTAAATCTCTGCGTGCACATGAAGATTCCAGCCCCCAGCTGTCATGACACATGTCTGAATCTGATTCCTTTTCAGGCTGCCTTCATACAGCATGAAACCTAACTCACTGTCTCTAATTTCTTCGTGTTTGGTACCTGACTATCTCTTCTTTTGAACTTAGCTATTAATTTTTGTGAGGGCATGAGGGAAAGGTGGGTTATAGTTTACCCAAAATTGTAATGGCTTTTACTGGAGTGTGGTAGAAATGTAGTTGGAATGGTTGCATTATCTCAATTCAACATTGTACCAGAACTGAAAGACCTACATACTGTTATGTATCTTGTTTTCCCTCCAAAATTATATCATGGAACATTTTCTATATTACTGCATATCATTGTCTTTAATGACTACACAATATTTTATTACATATATTAGGTGTATCATAGAGAATTTAATTACTACATTATTTGGTTGATCATAGCTTTTTTTGCTATTATAAACAGTATTGCAATGAAGATCATTTCATATATTTCTTATTTAAAAGAGAGTAGAATAACACAGTCAAAGAATACGCGCATTGCAATTTAAGATTTTGTAGATACTTTCACAGAAATAAAGCTGTAACATCTTTTGTCCTTAAGGGAAAAATTTGACTTCTCTGTTGTGTGCCTCTCCTGAAAAGCATCCTTTGGGATCTGAGTCCAGGTGACTCTGACAGGAGAAGAAAAAGAGAGAAGCATGGTTCTTGGGAAGTGACTAATCTGTTTGGAGCGGGAAGTAATTGTTTTAAAACCAGAGGTGACTTTTCCAAAATTTGAAAAAACAAAAACCCATATTTATAAAGAGACTCTTTCCCGAGATCTCAGCAGAGCCGTGAATGGATTTCAAGGACAAGACTACATCAAGACTCCCCACAGGCTCTGTCCCCAGCTCCAGCCTCTGGCTTGTCTCTAGGCAACATCCTCTGCCCCTCATGGGGGAGGGGGCTGTTGAGGTCACAGTGGGCTTTCCTGAGGGAAGCAGAGGGATTTTCTTCTTCTCTATGCTCAGGAGATGACAGGATATTTGGTTCCTTGCCTTTTTGAAATGCAAATGAAACCTGCAGTAGGTGGAGTTGAAACATCTATGGGTAGCAGGATTTTTTAAAGAAATGTTTTCAAGAAGAAGGGAAGAATGTGCTCCTGCAGTTGAGTGACAGAACCTCAGATAATTCATCATTATCAGTTGAGTTTAAGGTGTTTGAAAAGTAGTTTTTCAGCTTTCATTATGTATTTCTGTCCTCTGTGGGCATAGGGAGTGGAGGGAAAGGGGAACTGTCCTCGGAGGAGCTGGATGTATTTGTTCATTGCACCTGCATTCCCCACCTGCTCTGGTCAACTTGCTGGTGACCTCGTTGGGCATGGGAGGTTGTTACTTCTTTCAGACGGTGGAAACTTTCTGCATTGAGTTGAAGATCTTGGGTGACTGCATTTGAATGCAGCCTACTTTTTACAAATTGTGTGATCTTGGGGATAATTTCTTCTCTATCCTGTTGTTTCCTTACCAGTAACTTGGGGATAGCCTTATCAGCAGGGAATAGGTTCCATGACTCCCAGTGGATGACTGAAGATGGATAGTCTAGAACCTTATATTTACTATGTTTTTTCTTGTGTATACATATCCATGATAAAGTTTAAATTATAAATTAAGCACAGTACTCTTGCACTTTATATCCATTATTAAGTAAAATAAGGGTTACGTAAGTACAAACAGTGTGATACCCTGGCAGTCAATCTGATAACTGAGATGGCTATTAAGTGGCTAATTCAAGTAGTGTATACAACACAGATATGCTGTAAACTGAGATAATTCATGACTCAAGCAGGATGGCCTATGATTTCATTACACTACCAGAACAGCATGCAATTTAAAACTTAAGAATTGTTTATTTCTGGAATTTTCCATTTAATATTTTTGGAGTATGGTTGACCAGAGGTAACAAACCATGGAAAGTGAAACTGTGGATAAGGGAGGACTACTATAGTATCTTCCTCATAGGGTGGTTATAAAGATTAAATTAAGGTAGAGGTTGAACTGCAAAGTATTTGAAGCATGCTTAATATAATATGTATTGTATTTTCCTATGTGTTATTAATAACAATTGCTATTCTAAGGGTGTCAAGCAGGGTTTTTCCTATTCTTCTAGAATTTTGGCTAAGGTCCAAAACTGAGTAAAGAAGATAAGTATCACATATTGCAACTTAACAAAACTGCCATCAGTTGATATCAGCCCCCATATCAGAGGGCTAACTACAAGGCACCAGTTTAGACACTGTCCGTAGCTCTCACCCACTAGAGTCCTCAGACAGTCAATATTAGATGAGGGCTGCAAATGAGACAAGCTGCTCTGGGGAGAAAACTGCTTATGAAGAGAGGCTTTCTCCCATTGCTCATTACTTCACTTCTCCATTCAAACCAGAGGGACAAAGGAGAGTGTCGATATATCCATACTGACACCTCTGTCCTCTGCCCTGGGGTCTAGTACAACTCTCCTAGAAATTTTATAGTGCCGCTGGATCTGTAGAATGTTTACTAATGTTGGGATTAAGAGAAAGAAACAGGAGAGAGATGGCAGAGCTGATTAAAATCAGCCTTATTCTCTCCTCCAACAAGGCAGTTCCATAGTCTACTATTTGGCATGGATAAGATATATAAGTTTCGTATGGATTGAAAAGAAACCCCAGAAGCCAACTGGGCTTGAGCTGTTTTGCTAAATTCGTGCTCAGTAAGACTGAGGTCTAGATGAAGGGAATCTAGCCTGTAGTCCCAGCCACTGGGGAAGCTGAGGCAGGAGAATTGCTTAAACCTGGGATGTGGAGGTTGCAGTGAGCCGAGATTACACCACTGCACTCCAGCCTGGGTGACAGAGCGAGACTCCATCTCAAAAAAACAAACAAACAAACGAACAAAAAGTTTATGTAGTATATCAGTGGTATTAGGGATTGGGAAGGTGGAAAGCACAAACTTGATCTAGGTCTTTCATTCTCCAAGATGGTGTATGTATTTAGGGTTTGGAGACCCACAGGGCTGGTGATTAACCAACAAGTGTTTTTCATGAAAGAGTCAGTATTTTGATGACTGTTACACAAAGAATCCTTAAGCCCATCAATGTCAAGGAGCAGAGGCTATTGACAGAAAAAGACCTGCCAACTCACTATGGTATATGCCTTCATGTAATGACACTTCTGTCTCCTTGTTTCTCCTGCTAGCTTAACACCAGAGGATACTCGGGGAAGAAGCAAGGTAAAATAGAGGATTTCTCCCCACCACCCCACTTGTAGCTTAGGCTGCTCTGAAACAGGGAAGAGCTTTGAATGAGACACAAAGTGTTAGACATTAAAATGGTGAAAGAGTGGTGGGTTGGTGCCACTATGCCATTAAGAAACACACTATTAAGGGGAGAGGGGACTTCCTGTGATAACAGTTGGAATTTCTACTTTTGGCAAATATGAATTAGCTTGTTCAGATGAACCCTCCAAGAACAAGAAGAAAAACTGGACAAAAATAAGAAGGAACTGGAGAGCTATCAAGACAGCTAAGACTTGAGGGGTCAAGATTCCAGAGAGAAGTCAACCTGACTTTGGGTGCTACTTTTCCCTGTAACATTTGCTGATTCAAAAGAGGGACTTGAGAGGCTGAGCAAAAAGTGGTGGTTAGAAGTCTGCATAGACAGGCAAAGCTTCCACCCATCTCATGGACATAGAGGGGGAAAATAATTAGACTTTTAGGATTCATCAGGGAGAAACCACACTAGTAGTAGGCAGCCGTTCAGGATTTTTAATTTAAAAAAGAGACTACAGTTATTAAAAATGGACTTTAAAAATATTAACATGCTCAAAAATTTAGATGAATTGAAAATTTTCATCATAGAACTGGAAACCAGACAAATAAATTTTAATTAAGAATCGTGGCCAGGCACGGTAGCTCATGCCTCTAATCCCAGCACTTCGGGAGGCCGAGGTGGGTGGATCATGAGGTCAGGAGATCAAGACCATCCTGGTCAACATGGTGAAACCCTGTCTCTACTAAAAATGCAAAAAAATTAGCCAGGCGTGGTGGTGTGCACCTGTAATCCCAGCTACTCAGGAGGCTGAGGCAGGAGAATTGCTTGAACCCAGGAGGCAGAGGTTGCAGTGAGCCAAGATTGCGCCACTGCACTCCAGCCTACATGGCAGAGTGAGACTTAAAAAAAAAATCCTGAAGGGCTGCCTTCTGCTAGAAAGAAAACTGGAAATAGACTAGCCTTTACAAAATCCTTTATAAAATAAGAACAGAGATGATCTCTCTTTACCCTTGTTGCCAATTACAAATAAAATAACATCCTCTCTTTAGAAAAAATATTTTTCAGAGCCCCCATTAAAAATAATGGAAAACAGCATTCGATAAAATATTACCAAGTGTACTAGAAGACAAAACAAGAGAAAAACCAATAATGAAAAGATACGCACAGGAGATATAGATACTAAAGTTATTAAAAATGGACTTTAAGAATACTAACATGCTCAAAGATTTAGGCAAATTGGAAATTTTCATCATAGACCTGGGAACCAGAAAAATAACAAATTAAAATTTTAGAATACACAAATGCAGTAACTAAAGTTTAGAATTTGATTACTTGGTTTAACTGTAGATTAGATGGGAGCAAAGAAAGACTATAATGATGATCTATTTTAAAAAAATCCAGACGAGCATGAAGAGAAAAATTAATGGGGGTATGCAGAAAAAAATGCAAAATATACAATACAGGAGTGAAAAAGGCTAACATGTATAAGGGAAATCACAGAATAGAGGTGAGAAAGAATAAAGCAGAAACAATATTTGAAGAGATATTAGCGGCCGGGCATGGTGGCTCATGCCTGTAATCCCAGCACTTTGGGAGGCTGAGGCGGGTGGATCACGAGGTCAGGAGATCAAGACCGTCCTGGCTAACATGGTGAAACCCTGTCTGTACTAAAAATACAACAAAAATTAGCCGGGCATGGTGGCAGGCACCTGTAGTCCCAGCTACTCTGGAGGCTGAGGCAGGAGAATGGTGTGAAACCAGGAGGCAGAGCTTGTAGTGAGCCCAGATTGCATCACTGCACTCCAGCCTGGGCGACAGAGCAAGACTCTGTCTCAAAAAAAAAAAATATATATAGATATATATAGATATAGATATATATACATAGATATCGATATATATACATATATAGATATATAGATATATACACATATAGATATATTGATATATACATATACATATGTATATATGGATATGGATATACATATACATATACGGATATGGATATACATATATCCATATATAGATATATATACATATATCCATATATAGATAGATATACATATATCCATATATAGATAGATATACATATATAGATATATATACATATATAGATATATACATATATACATATATAGATATATATTATACATATATAGATAGATATTAGCTGAGAATTTCTCTAAACTGATGAATGACAAACTTAAGTCACAGATTATAGGTGTTTAACAGATCTCTAGATTAATAAATATAAAGAAAACACATGTAGGTACATTATAGTAAGTTAGTTGAAAACCAAAGACAAATAGAAAACTTTTAAGGTAGCCAAAGAGACACATTACATTCAAAAGAGCATCAGTAAGAAAACTTGTGTCTCAATAGAAATGACAGAGTTCGGAAGACAAATTTCAAAGTGCTAAAATAACTGCCAACTTAAATTTCTGCTCAGAGCAAAAATTAAAGTGAAATAGACATTTTCAATTAAAGCTGAATTTATTACCATCTTACCCATGTTAAATGAAATACCAAATGTCTTCATGTAGGAGAAAATATTCTCAGAATAGCACAGAATTAAAGAAGAAATGAAAAGCAACAGAAAAAGTAAATATGTATGTAAATGAAAAAATGAAGATTTAAACATATAAATCAATAAAATAAAAGAATAATACTTAGGGCTTAAGCTCTATGTAGAATATGTGACAACAGTAATACAAAATGCAAGTGAGTTAAATAGATATAAAATACTTCTACCTTTGCACTGTCTGGGAAGTGGCTTAAAAATAATTTCTATTAGATTGTGATAAGCAAATGATAAATTTTTGATGTCTTTTGTAACCATTAAAAGACTAGCAAAAAAATACAATTGGCAGGCTAGTAGGAGACATGATTTTTTTTTTTTAAATCCAAAGTCAAGAGATCAGAGAAAAAGAAAATAGAGGAAAAAAAGAACCAAATAGTAAGATTTTAGTTATAATCTCAAATTTGGGTTTATATTTAATAGTTACATTAAATGTAAATGGATTAAATATTCCAATTAAAGACTAGGATTTTAAAATTGAATTAAGTGCCACAACTGCGTTTGAGATATTCCTTAAATAAAAGTATTTAGAGGAGTGGAAACAGTCTATCAAAGCTATATTAATATAAGAGAATGTTGAATTTATAATAGAAAATTATTTGAGATAAATAGATATGATAAAAGGTTAATACACCTATAGGATACAACAATTGTGAATATGTATCAGACAGTGCAACATCAAAATATACAAACAGAAATTCACAAATAAAATGTACCAAACATAATTGGAAGGATATACCATATTTATAAATTGGAAGACTATTTTTGAGATACCACTTCTCTTCAGTCTGATCTACAGGTTAATTATAATAATACTACTAGAATATTTTTGTGAAAATCAAAAAGTTGATTCTAAAATTTATATAATAATTGAAAAGACTGAGAATCACCCAGACAATCTTGATAAAACAGAATAAAATGGTAAGACTTCTATTAACAGATGCTATGGACTGAACTGTGTTCCCAAAATTCATATGTTGAAGCCCTAGCCCCTAGTGTGAGATAGGCCTACAAGGAGGTAACTAAAATTAAATGAGGTCATAAGGCTGGGGCCCTGATGCTGAGCATTAGTGTCCTTATAGGAAGAGATACCAGAGAGCTTGTCCTCCCCACCATGTGAGGACACAGCAAGAAGGTGGCCATCTACAAGCCAGGAAGAGAGCTCTGAATGGAAATTAAATCAGCTGGAATCTTTTGTTATTTAAGCTACCCAATCTATAATTTGTTATAGCAGCCCAAGCAGTCTAATACATATTTTGGTATTAAGAACTGTGGTGCTGCTGTAATAAATGCCTAAAAAATGTGAAAGTGGCTTTGGAACTCAGACGTACAGGCTGGAAGAGTTCTGAGATGCATACTATAAAAGTGTGGATGTTAAGGGAGGTACTGGTAAGGTCTCAGGTGGAAATAAGGAATTTGTTATTGTAAATGGAAAAAAATAATCCTTGTTATAATATGGCAAAGAACTTCACTGAAATGTGTTCTAGTGTTTTGCAGAAGGTGGAACTTTTGGGCAACAACATGGGATTCATTTCTGTAGGACTCAGTCTGAGGAGTTTCCTAAGCTAAGTGTTGAAGGAGAGGCTTGGTTTCTTCTGAATGCTTATAGTAAATTGTGAAAGAAGAAGGATGGATTAAATAAGAGATTGTTAAGCAAAACCAAGTCAGAACTTGAAGACTTGAAAAATTCTCAGAGTATCCATATTGAAAAAAAACAAAAACAAGAAACCTTGTTCTGAAGAGAACACTAAATATGAGACTAAACAACCATTTGATAAGGAGATCATGAATATGACTTGTAGACCGAATCAGTCATCTCAATAGAAGTCAGGAATAGAGATGGGATGATACCAGCAGACACTGCCAGTTTGAACTAAAGCAGGCAGAGAAAGTGGAATATGGAGTGAAGGACAGCTGTTGGACTTCCTGGAATCTACAAGATTAAACCATAGAGGTATCTGACTGCAAACATACACTATTATTCAAGAAAAGAGAAAATCACTCTGAAAGAGATTCAGAGGGCTTCAGAGCTGCCACTCCCACACAGGCCCAGGAGACAAGGATGTTTTCTCCTCGGTTTTGGGAGGGGAGCCCTTGAAGAAACCCTTATGGATGGTGACTTCTGAGAGACAAATCTTGCCAAGACAAAGGGGCAGGGGGATTGCTGCGCCCAGCTAAAGGACAAGGGCTGCCCAGCAGAGCCAGGAGGGTGATGCTGCCATTCCAGTGAGTTTGGAAGGTGGGACATCAAGCTAACTGAGGATTATTCATGAGGCTTAATATCTAATGGAATTTGCCTTGCTAGGTTTTGGATTCGTTTGGGACTGTATTAATCCATTTTCATATTGCTGATAAAGACATACCTGAGACTGAGCAATTTACAAAACAGGTTTAATTGGACTTACATGGCTGGGGATGCCTCACAATCATGGCAGAAAGAAAGGAAGAACAAGTCACGTCTTACATGGATGGCAGCAGACAAAGAGAGCTTTTGCAGGGGAACTCCTCCTTTTGAAATCATCAGATCTCATGAGACATATTCACTGTCATGAGAACAGCATGGGGAAGACTTGCCCTGTGATTCAATTACCTCCCACCAGGCTCTTCCCATGACACACACACAAATTCAAAATGAGATTTGGGTGGGGACACAGCCAACCCATATCATTCCACCCTTGGCCTCTCCCAAACCTCACATTTCAAAACTAATCATACCTTTCAAGCAGTCCCCCAAAGTCTTAACTCATTTCAGCATTAACTCAGAAGTCCACAGTCCAAACTCTCATCTGAGACAAGGCAAGTCTCTTCCACCTATGAGCCTGTGAAATCAAAACCAGGTTAGTTACTTCCTAGATACAGTGGGGGTACAGGCATTGGGTAAATACAGCCATTCCAAAAGGGAGGAATTGGCTAAAACAAAACAAAGGGGCTACAGGCCCTATGCAAGTCCAAAATCCAGTGAGGCAGTCTAATCTTAAAGCTCCAAAATGATCTCCTTTGACTCCATGTCTCACATCCAGGTCATGCTGATGCAAGAAGTGGGTTCCCATGATCTTGGGTAGCTCTGCCCCTGTGGCTTTGCAGGGTACAGACTTCCTCATAGTTGCTTTCAGTGGCTGGTGTAGAGTGTCTGCAGCTTTTCCAGGTGCATGATACAACCTGTTGGTGGATCCGCCGTTCTGGGGTCTGGAGGATGGTGGTGCTCTTCTCACAGCTGCACTAGGCATTGCCCCAGTAGGGGCTCTGTGTGGGGTCTCTGGCCCCACAATTCCCTTCTGCACTGCTCTAGCAGAGCTTCTTCATGAGGGCCCCGCCCCTGCAGCAAACTTCTGCCTGGACATCCAAGTGTTTCCATACATCTTCTGAAATCTAGGGAGAGGTTCCCAAACCTCAGTTCTTGACTTCTGTGCCCTCACAGGCTCGACACCACATGGAAGTTCCTATGGCTTGAGGCTTGCATCCTCTGAAGTCATGGCCTGAGCACTACAGTGGCCCCTTTCAGCCACATGTGGAGCAGCTGGGATGCAGGGCAGCAAGTCCCTAGACTGCACACAGCAGTGGGACCCTGGACTGGGCCCACAAAACCACTTTTTCCTCCTAGGCCTCTGGGCCTGTGATGGGAGCGCTGCCATGAAGACCTCTGACATGCCCTGGAGACATTTTCCCCATTGTCTTGGGGATTAACATTTGGCTCCTTGTTACTTATGCAGATTTCTACAACTGGCTTTAATTTCTACTCAGAAAATGGGATTTTTCTTTTTTATTGCATTGTCAGGCTGCAAATTTCCCAAACTTTTATACTCTGCTTTCCTTATGAAACTGAATGCTTTTAACAGCACCCAAGTCACCTCTTGAATAGTTTGCTGCTTAGAAATTTCTTCCACCAGATACCCTAAATCATCTCTCTTAAGTTTAAAGTTGCACAAATCTCTAGGGCAGGGGCAAAATGCTGCCAGTTTCTTTACTAAAACATAACAAGAGTCACATTTGCTCCAGTTCCCAACAGGTTCCTCATCTCCATCTGAGACCACCTCAGCCTGGACCTTATTGTTCACATCACCATCAGCATTTTTGTCAAAGACATTCAACAAGTCTCTAGGAAGTTCCAAACTTTCCCACATTTTCCTGTCATCTTCTGAGCCCTCCAAACTGTTCCAACCTCTTACTGTTACCGAGTCCCAAAGTCGCTTCCACATTTTCAGGTATCTTTTCAGCAATGCCCCACTCTGCTGGTACCAATGTACTGTATTAGTCCATTTTCATGCTGCTGATAGATATTCCAGAGACTGGGCAATTTACAAAAAGTGGTTTAATTGGATTTGGAATTCCAGGTAGCTGGGGAAGCCTCACAATCATGGCAGAAGGCAAAGAAGAGCAAGTCTGATCGTACATGGATGGCAGCAGGCAAAGAGAGCAAGTTTTGCAGGGGAATTCCTCTTTTTAAAACCACCAGATCTCATGAGACTTATTCACTATCGAAAGAACAGCAGTGGAAACACTTGCCCCATGATTCAATTAGATCCCACTGCATCCCTCCCACAACACACAGGAATTCAAGATGAGATTTGGGTGAGGTCACAGCCAAACCATATCAGGGACCCATCGCCCCTTCCTTCTTTCCTATTTGTTTTTTTGGAATGGGTATGTCTATCTTAACACTTGTCCCACTATTGTACTTCAGAAGACATCACTTGTCTGGTTTCACAGTTTCAAAACTAAAGAATTTTGTCTCAGGTTTAACCATACCTTAAGTGTCATTAATATCTGATTTAGATGATATTTAGATGAGACTTTGGACTTCAGACTTCAGAGTTGATGCTGGAATGAGTTAAGATCTTTGTGGCAGATGGGATGGAAGGAATGTATTTTGCATGTGATGAAGACATGAATTTGAGGGGTTTGGGGCAGAATATTATGGACTAAACTGTGTCTTCCCCCTAAATTTGTATGTTAAATCCCTAACTGCTAATGTGACTGTGCTTGAAAGTAGGGTCTGTAAGGAGGTAATTAAGGTTAATTGCAATCATAATTGGGGGGTGATACAGTAGGATTAGTATCTTTATAAGAAGAGACACCAGAAAGCTCGCTCTTTTTCTCTCTACCATGGGAGAATACAAGGAAAAGGCAGCCATCTACGAGGAATATACATATATATTCTTCACCAGAAACCAAATCAGGTGGCAGCTTGCTTTTGGACCTCCCAGACTTCAGAGCTATGAGAGAATAAATTTTTGTTGTTTAAGCCACGCCCCATGGTACAGTGGTCACCCCTTATTTCAGGTTTTGTGTTCCATGGTTTCAGTTATCCTTAGTCAACTGGGGTCTGAAAAGATTAAAAGAGAAAATCTAGAAATAAACAATTCATAAGTTTTAGACTATGTGCTGTTCTGAGCAGCATAATGAAATCTTGCACTGTCCCACTCTGTCCACCCTGGAATGTGGATCATCCCATTTGTCCCGTAGATCCATGCTGTACATGCTACCTGAGTTAGTCACTTTGCAGCCAAATCCATTACCAGATTGACTGTCAGTATTGCGGTGCTTGAATTCAAGTAACCGTTATTTTACTCAATAGCCACAAAACAGAGTATCATGCCTAATTTATAAATGTAACCCAATCCTAGGTATGTATGTATGGGAAAACATATAGTATATATACAGTTCTGTGGTGTCCAAGGTTTCAGGGTGTCCACTGGGGTTCTTGGAACATTTCCTGCTGATGAGGGGAAACTACTGTATTTTGTTATTGTAACCCAACTGGATTAATACACCAGATATCAGAATTCTTTGAAAACTGTTTTCTCCTTTTCCTCCAACGTAAGCTACAGGAGTGAGATGTTGGGAGGAGATGGTTTTGGGCAGTTGAGAGGGGTGGAGCTGGGGAGATTGAATTTTGGTAGGACAAAGTGAAAGAGGTAAAGCTCTAGGCAGTGATGTAACAGGAAGGGGAAGGATTAGGGAGTAGCAGGAGTTAGGGTTAGTGTTAGCCTCATGACTGGGAATTTTAAAGGGCCACTGTGTGGTATTGATAAAGCTGGCCTACAACATAGAAAAGGCTGTTTAATAATTGGTTCTGAGTCTACTGAATTTCTAAATTTTAAAAAGTTAATGACATATGCCACACTGTTCACAAGAATCATTGATGAGATTTTAGATTTAAATGTGAAAGACAGGCAAAGACTTAGGACACAAAATACACCAATATTTTGCTAGACTGGATTACGTTAAATTGAGAAATTTATATTCATTGAAAGAATTACGTGGATGAAGATATTTGCTATATGTATGTTGTATACATAAAAATTCAAGTTCAGAATATATATATATATAAAATACATGTAGGTTGGGTGCAGTGGCTCACACCTGTAATCCCCACACTTTGGGAGGTCAAGGTGGGTGGATCACCTGAGGTCAAAAGTTCAAGACCAGCCTGGCCAACATGGTGAAACCTTGACTCTACTAAAAATACAAAAAATTAGCTGCACGTGGTGGCAGGCACCTGTAATCCCAGCTACTTAAGAGGCTGAGGCAGGAGACTCGCTTGAACCAGGAGTTGGAGGTTGCAGTGAGCCGAGATTTAGCCATTGCACTCCGGCCTGGGCAACAAGAGTGAAACTTCGTCTCAAAAAACCAAAAAAGAATATATATGTTATATGTGTATATTCCTATCAGTCAATTAAAAAAAAAACCAATAGAAAAATAAGCGAATGCTTCTGTATGTCACTGTATTTCAATAAACCAACTTCAAAAGACCTCAAAAATTAAGACATTCAACTATTCCAAGAAGCATATGAAAATGTGCTTGGTCTCCTTATTCATTGGGAAAATGTAAATTAAATAAAATGAGATAAATAATATAATCCTACACAGCCACCAGCATGACTTAAAGAGACTGACAATACTAAATTTTAGCATGGAATTGGAGAAATCGGCATTCTCAAACATTGCTGGTGGGAGTGTAAATTAGTACAACCAATTTGGTGAACTATTTAGCAATAACTCCTAAAACAGAATATATGCAGATATTATGACCTAGCGATGCTACCCCTAGATATATATCTTACAGAAAAGTATACATATGTGCACTAAATTAAATGTGGAGATGTTTTATAGCAGCATTATTTATAATAGCTCTAAACTGGAAACCTAAATGTCCAACAGAAGACTGATTTGATCTCTTACGGCATATGCATAAAAATAGAGTACTATTAAGCCATGAAAATGAGCAAAATACTGCTATTCACAATGTGAGTGGATATTAGGTAATGTTGAGTAAACAATGTTTGACACAAAATAATGCATACTGTATAACTCCATTATAGTAATCTTCATAAAATATAGAAATAGTTTCTGATGTTAGAAGTAAAAATAATAGTTAGCTTTGGAGAAGAGGAGGAAATAGCGCCCATGAGAGAGCTCAAAGGGAGCTCCTATTTTTCTGGTAATGCTCTATTTTTTGACCTGTGTCGTAATTACAAATGTTTTTCGCTTTGTGGAATTTATTTTAATTTGTGCATGCTTCTGTATATATGTATTTCCATAAAATTTCAGTAAAATATATATAACAGAGTTTGGGGAGAGGTCCTGAAAAAATACAATCATTTTTTATTTCCATCTCAATGAGTTGCAACTTCTCTATGAATGAGTGATAGTAGTAGCAGCAGCAGCAGCAAGAAGAAGACGATTTGGGAAAACCTGAGCTTGGCACAGGGGTGGGCCAGATCAAGGAAGAATAAATTGAAAACTAATCATGAAGTTCAACGAACCCAAACATCAATCTGAATAGGCCAACCCAGAGAAGAAACCAGAAGCAAAGGAATGGGGAATCCAAGAAAGGAATGGGGCCTTTTTATTTTTTTAATTTTTGAGATGGAGTCTCACTCTGTTACCCGGGCTGGAGTGCAGTGGCATGATCTTGGCTCACTGCAACCTTCACCTCTTGGCTGCAAGCAATTCTTCTGCCTCAGCCTCAAACTAGTTGAGACTACAGGTACACATCACCACACCCAGCTAATTTTTATATTTTTAGTAGAGGTGGAGGTCTCATCATGTTGACCAGGCTGATATCGAACTCCTGACCTCAGATGATGTGCCCACCTCAGCTTCCCAAAGTGCTGGGACTAAAGGCGTGCGCCACCGCACCCACCTGAGTGGAGCCTGTTTTAGAGTGGAGTGCCAGGTTGTGAATACTGGGAGATCTCCCACTACTGAGTAAGACTTTTTTTTTTTTCCTTTTGAAAAATAATGAAATTAGCCTTTTTATCTCTGCATACCAGGAAGTCTCAAAGGAACTTTAGAGTTGTTTTATGAAAACTACTGCTGACGACCTTCTTGGGCAAAGTAATTCTACGGAGAACCCACATAATTAAATGCACCTGTATCATTTACAGATGCTGATACACATTAAATGACATAATTCCCCCCTCAAATATTACAGACGTGACATAGATGATGTCTATATCTGAGTCTATTGAAGTGGCACATATAATCACACAATTTAGGGCTTTGGAAATTCTTTGTAATCCTACCTCCTACTTCGGAAATTGACTAGGGCCTTGTAAGGTCTTTGAACATTGAGGTGGAAAGAACCTTGGATTGGGATTTAGCTCATTTTAATCCTCAGTGCAGTCACATGGACTCTGGAGTCAGGTGGACAAGGGCATCATTATTCATACTGGATTATGTGCGACAGATGTAGGTAATCTGAGGCCAGCTGACTTGAGGAAGCTTTCATGGTTATGAAGCAGTAAAGTCAGAATTCAAAACCAGGGCTCTCTGACTCCAGAATCCAAATAACACGTTTGTTAACCTATTTCCTCTTCTACCTGGCATTTTTCAGAAAATTTGTAAAGAAGTTTCATGGAAACTTCATGGAAACCTACCTTGCCACACAAAGGTAGGACTCTACTCTTCAAGCTAAGCATAGCTAGCCCCTTACACCAGTTTTAAAGGAAGTAGTTTTCATTCCCTTGACAGTCTAGTTGCCTGACACCTGCCAAATCCTATTCCCCATTTCTCTTACTTCTCATGTAGGCAGAATAGCATAATCCCTGTCCACCATGACCTGGTCCCAATGTTCCAAACACTTTGTATGTGAATCCCAGAATGTTAAATCCAAGGAAGACTTGGCCAGAAAGTATACACGTGAAGGTTGCATAAGAGAAATACTACCTGATGGAAATTGCTGTGAACTTGGAGTGGGAGGACTAGGCAGTCCTGCCAGCTCTTCTCTTCATCACTGTTAAACCATGGGAAAATCACTTGCCTCTCTAAGCCTGAGTTTCCACAAGTGAGAAAAATAGAAACTGAGTAAATATGTCCTTAAGCTCTGGAATCAGACGGACAAAGTGTATCATATATATATTTTTTCTCCTTTCTTCCAGCTTTAAAGCATAATTGACATATAAAAATTGGGTATAT
Organism: Homo sapiens; assembly: GCF_000001405.40. Classification (NCBI taxonomy): domain Eukaryota; kingdom Metazoa; phylum Chordata; class Mammalia; order Primates; family Hominidae; genus Homo; species Homo sapiens. The sequence continues at coordinate 34,276,292 of NC_000022.11, forward strand.
TCATGGTGTACAGTATGGTGTGTTAAGATATGTATACACTGAAATGACTTCCAGCCCCTATGTAACCATGCCATGCCATTTTCTTTCTCTGCATTGTGACTTCCTTCCACCATGGGCGATGGAATGAGCTAGATGATCTCTCACAGTCTTTGCGGTTCCAAGATCTGTGAGTCTCTGTCTCCATGGGATGGTGGAAGGCATACTGGACTGAGAGCCCAGAACTGGGCTGAAGTCTGAGCTCTTTTCCTATTCCATCTATGACCTTGAACAATTCGCTTTCTTATGTAAGCTCCAGATCTCTTGTCTGTAGAAACAGAAAGGTAGCTATGGTATCGTGTGCTCCTAGTTCTAATATTCTGTGGTTTGAAGTCAGGTTCATCAAATTAACAGAAACTTCTGCAGCACTAAACCAGAAATCATGGACTCTGGTCCAGATGTTTAGTTAACCAGAAGTTAATACTGATGATGATGCGAACTGTTCGTTGAAGGTTTATGGTATGCTAGCCTGTGTGCTAGAATACTTTACCTGCACTATCTAATGTAATCCTCAAAATTAATCTCAAAATAGTTTTTATTATTTTCCGTTTTATAAATGAAATAATGGATCCACAAGAAAGTTAAATGACTCACCCCAGGCCACAGAGTGAGAAAAAGGAGTAGAGACCAGAACTCCGGGGCACCCACTGCCCTACCTGCCTTCTCTGATGCTTCATTGCAGCTTGAGCTGCGCTTTCATAGTATAATCATCCTAATGGATCGATGTGTATAGTACTTCAAAATTTATAAAGCATTTAATATCTTCATTTAATCAAGTGCCTTTAACATTGGTTTTATTGCCTTCATTTTGGAGCTGAAAAAGCTGCGGATTGGAAAAGTTAAGTAACTTTGCATAGATTGATAAATTGGTTAGTAGCAGAGACATTACTTAAACTGATGCTCCTGATTTAGAGTTCAGAGATTTCTCTGCAACATGGCAACTAACTCTGTGAAAAGAGAAATAATCACCTCCCTATGGCCTGTTCACATCTGAGAATGTTTTTGAAAGGTGCAAAATGTCTTACAAACACGTGTCTTCATGGTTTTAAGTTCAAAAGCAGGTTCCATCCTCCCAGTGCGCGTATCTGTCTATAGCACCTTCCAACCCACGCCTTAATGAGTGCACCATGGTGCTGTAGATGGAAGTGAGACAGGCAGGAAATCTTTCCCTCCGGTGTTTCAGCTGTTTGAGGCTCTGACTCCCCACAGGTTCCCATGGTGGAGCGGACATGACAAGTTAATTCTGCAGCAGTTCAGGCTGAAGCAAACCTGGCAGTCGTGTAATGAGAGGGTCTCTGGTTGCTGCCAGCAGGAAGGAGAAAGTCAGATATGACAAATGGATTATCAGGGACAAAATATATTAGGTAGAAAAAGGAAGTGATAGCTCTTGGCTTCCCTGGAGAATTGTTCTGTCCACCTGGCATGGCTTGGTAGCATGGGGAAAAGTCGATCAACGAGGTATCAGGCAGGCTGGTGACTGTCATATACAGAATTCAGGATGGCATTTGAGGTTGACAGTCGCACAAAATAAATATCAGAGACGGTTGCTCCTATTTAGTTTAGGATTTACAGAATCACACAATCGATGTGGGCTTTGGGATAACTGACACTGAAGCCTCAGTAGTTTTTGTTCACCCTGATCCTGATCCTTTAAAGCAGTCCCTCACCCCCAATTCCTGTGACCCACACAACCGATAAGCAGTAAGGTAGACTGAGAACGTGTTATTTCCTTTGGTAACAATGGTGTCTAGAGAAAGCAGTTCAGTTCAACAAAGATCACAGGTCAGAATAACCATCACTATGGAATCTGTTCTTCCTCCTGCCCTGCTCCAGTTGTCTTCCAATTTGCGCCCAAATTTTCACCCTGCTCCTTATCTTTAGGCTTATTAATTGACTTGGGTATGCCTGGGTTGGCTAGCAGTGCAACAGTAAGGGCTTTGCTTTGGATTAGTCTGTTCAGCTGTTTTCTCTGTCAGCTGCTCTGATAAGACAACTTGATCTGGCTGTCACCCAGGTCACACCATTACTCTTCTCAACTGGCAACTTGCTAGGTCTCCCCTTCCAGGCCTTCTTAAACCTTGTGCTTTTTCCTAGATTGTGCAAGAACAGATATGAAGTTAACTGATCTTACCCCAGTAACTTACCCCAGACTGTAGAGCAGGGATGATAATGGACCTGTATTGGGTGGGAAGTTGGGGGAGGGCACATGGCAGATTTGGAAGAACTTTCTCAGGATTAGGGTTTGGGTAATAATGCTGTATTAGGGTTCCTCAAAGAAACAGAACCAATAGAATACATATATATATATACACATATTTATTTCATCCTTTTCCATTGAATATATACATACATATATATGTAGGTATATGGAGAGAGAGGGTTTATATATGTATATATGAACATATAGATATACATTTATAAAACGTATATTTACAGATTAATTTATATACTATATACCCTTGCTCTCTCCATATACCTACATATATGTATTGTCTCTCTCTCTATATATATATAATAGATATAAAATGTATGTATATATTCAATGGAAAGGGATGAAATAAGTATATTCTATTTCTGTGCTGAGATACAGACACATATATATATAAAATATAAATATAAAATATATATATTTTATATATATAATATATATAAAACATATATATATAATATATATAATATATAATATATATAAAATATATATAATATATATAATATATATATAAAATATATATAATATATATATAAAATATATATAATATATATATAAAATATATATAATATATATAAAATATATATAATATATATATATATATATATATATATATATATATAAATTGTGTTACATGTTTATGAGTGCTGACAAGTCCCCCAATCTGCAGCCTGCTTGATCTCTGTAGGCTGGAGTCCCAGGAAAGTCAGTGGTATAATTCAGTCTGGGTCTGAAGGCCTGAGATCCAGAAGAAATGACAGTGTAAATTCCAGCATGATTGCTGGAGAAGATGAGATGACATGTCCCAGCTCAAGCAATGAGGCAGGAAAAAAAAAAGGGAGGCAAATTCCTCCTTCCTCTACCTTTTTGTTCTATCCGGGCCCTCAGTGGATTGGGTGATGCCCACCCATTCTGGGGAGGGCCATCTGCTTTTCTGAGCCCAAATCCTGATTCAAATGCCAATTTTATGTAGCGATGCCTTTACAGACACCCCCAGAAAGTGTTAAATTGAGGCACCCTGTGGCCAGTCAAGTTACCACATAAAATTAAGCATCACTAATATCAACACCAATACTACTATTACTACTACTACTACTACTACTTACAATGATGACCACCACTACCAGTATCCATTGAGCACTTATGTGCTGGGCTAAGTACATTATATGAGGTGGGCCTATTACTGTCCCACCTCACTGATAACCTGAAACCCTAAAAGCTTAAGTAATTTTCCCAAAGTCAAAGGGCAGCCAGCATTCTAAATAGAGTGCAGAAAGGAGTAAGGCAAGAAGGGCTTCCTTGACTCTGGGCCCATGTTGATCTAAAGTGGGAGGAGAACAGTAGGGTAGGGATTCCTCAGTAAATCAGGAAGAAGCTCCCACATTTCAAGGAATGGAAAATCTGACTCAAACTGGCTTGCTGGCACACCAGCTAGGAACTCCCAAAGCACTGCAGGTTTCAGAGTTTCCTTCATTTAGGGGCTCACAATACATCTGTGGCTTCAACTCCAATCTACCCTGTCCTCCTGTGCTTTGCCCCCAGATCTCTTGGTTCTACCCTCCTTTGTGGTTTCCTTTGATCTCAGGCTGACTTCTTATGTTAATGATCTAGATGCTGACAGCTCCTGGGGCCACTTGGTTCCCCGTTCACATTCAGGAGCAGGGGCATGACTTTCCATCCCCCTCCTCTGAATAAAAGTCTTGAAGCTCATTCTCTTTTGACAACTTAAGACCTGTGCCCCCAGGAGAGCACCATGTGCTGGCCTCTCAGGAAGGGCACTTTTCTGACCCAAGGACAAAGGAGTGAGGAATTGAGGCGACTACATTTGAGTTTGCAGCCCCTGGATTCTGTGATTTTCATGATTTCTTTCAGCTCCAGTGATGTAAATATCTACCCCCCACCAAAAAGAGTGAATCCATGCCAGATACACCTGCTCCCTAGCAATTTTGTCATCTCTCCAGCTCTAATTCCTAGGAAGTGACTATAATCCATCCACCCCCACTGGAGGCAGGTGGGAAGAGGAACAGAGACAACTGGCAAGGGGGAGGAAATGGGCTGGAGGCCATGAGTTGCTCTCTGTGTAGTCACTCACCCAGTCTTTGGAAGGTGCTCAGGTAGAAATGCAGTTGAGGTTTTATCCTGCTCAATTTCTTAGGGATTGTGGGAAAGAGTGGATAGGAAAAATAGAGCTTGTGGGCTATACTCAGAGCCACTGGCAAGCAGCAAGGACTCAGCATGAATGATTTGAGAGAGCACCTCAGCATATCAGAAAAACCATAATGTTCCAGCCACCTGCTCTCTCTGGCTATTGGACCAGCCTCAGATCACAGGGAAACCAAGCCCAGGAGTAGACCTCTGTTCCAGCAAGAGAAATGCGAGAAGCTAGAGCAGGACATGATCTCAGGCTGCCATCTTTTCAAGGTTGGGGACGCTTATGTACTTTGTTCTGTCCTTCTGCTTCCTGCAGACCTCTTGGGTTTGAACTCATTGCCTGGCTTTGACCAGATGCTAACCTACATTATGTTTGCCATTTGGTCCACTTGATTCTGTTACTTAAGGACCATCTTTGATTTCTGAATTCTAGTCCTTGGCCATTTTCATTACTTACGGCCACCCACAGGGTAATAATTGCAACAGGCACCATATACTGAGCGCTTGCTCTAAGCCTTGAGTTTTGCAGGCATTATTCTAAAAACACTCCAAGTTCGTTATTATTTTTATTTTGCCTATGAGAAGATGGAGGCCCAGAATAATTAAGTAATTTGCCCAAAGTTTCTCAGTTTGCTAAGTGGTTGTGTTAGGGTTCAAATTCATTTCTGACACCAGTGTCTTTTATCTTTCCACAACACTCCACTACAAGTGGTAGTAGAGAACCAGATTGGAAGATTAATTTCAGGTGGCAAGGGGTGGCTGCACAAGTGACCCCCAACTCTGTTCTTCAGGGTTTTACTTTCCTTGTGGGTCTCCTTCCAGCTTGTTCCTCCTGTGACACCAAGCCAAGCCTCCTAAAGCCACAGCCACCTTTTAAATAGTTGGCTCCAAGCTTGACAAAATTTTCTTTACTTCTGTGCCTTTCACACAACTGAGACAGGCTTATATTTTTGGAAAGATTTTTACTAAACACTAAGGGAAACTGAAAGGAAATAATTGCAGCAAATATAGGCAGTATAAAAATAGCCAACTTTCCAAATACACATTTCTGGCTCTAGGAATCACAGTAGAAACAGCAGAAAGCTTTTCTGTTGCCCAAACCTGATGCTAAGGAAGTCCCCCGACCAAAACACTGCTGCAAGATTTGTTTTAATGGAGCTCAGCCATATCTACACTTCTTGTTTGGGCTGGGAGTCAAGAATCTGACCCAGGGGGGATGCATGAGCAGAGAGGTGGGGGCGTGGCTGCAGGATCCATGTCTCCTGGCCCAGACTCACTTGGGCTGTGGCCTTCATTACCACCCCATGCTGATGCTGCCCAAATATTGGTCTCTAGTCCAGGCTTCCCTCCCGAAACCTACTGGGTGTCTCCACTTGGACATTCCATAGATAACTGAGCTCCTCTGTATTTGAGCCCATCATCTGTCTTCCCTCCAGTAAATGGCACCACCCTCCACCCAGTTACACAAGACCAATACCAGGAGGAAAGTCATTCCTGACACTTCCCCTAAGTCCAGTTAGCCATTCAATTCTAGCAGTTCCCCCCCCCCGCCCCCCCGCTCTCCCCACCAAATCTCTTCATTTCTCCCCATCTCTTCCACTTCTACCTATATTCAGGTCACCTTTATCTCTGATCTGGACTGTTCTCTTTTAGCCTCCTAACTAGTTTGACTACCTTCAGTTTTATCTCCTTTAATCTATTCCCCATGCCAGGGGTAAAGCTTTTTAAACACAAGTCTGATCATGTAGTTCTTTCTGCTTAAAGTCCTCTGGACATTCTCCATTTCTCTCAGAAGAAAATACCAAACATAGACTAATGCTGCTCATTCCTCTAGGCTTGTGTCTCAGGACCCCCGTCCTTCTGTATTAGTCTGTTCTCACACTGCTAATAAAGACATACCCAAGACTGGGTAATTTATAAAGAAAAGAGGTTTAATTGACTCACAGTTCTACAGGGCTGGGAAGGCTTCAGGAAACTTTCAATCATGGCAGAAAGGAAAGTAAACATGTCCTTCCTCACATGGCAGCAGCAAGCAGAAGTACCCAGCAAAAAGGGGAAAAGCACCTTATAAAACCGTCAGGAGAACTCACTATCATGAGAGCAGCATAGAGGTAACTGCCCCCATGATTCAATTACCTCCCACCAAGTCCCTCCCACGACTCATGGGGATTATGGGAACGGCAATTCAAGATGAGATTTAGGTGGGGACACAGCCAAATTATATCACCTTCCTGTACTTGGAAGCTTGCACTTGTCCCTGCTCTCATCCTTCTAAATAATGTTCATCTTCTCTACTGAGCTGCTCTGACATCTGGGCCTTTTACCATGCTCTTCCCTTTAAATGAAATACACCTGTGCTAAGCCATCTTGCCTGTTTTCACCAACTAGGTCTTAGAAGTACCTTGCTCCAAAATGTTTTCTGTATCCCATAAAATTGGGGTTAAGTGCCTAACTTAAAACGTATTACTTTCAACACTGTTTAGGTTGTATGGATTTCTGCCCAACAGCAGGGGCTCATTAGGAAAGTAACCATGTCAGCTGATTCACTATTAGAGCACTATTTATCATCACAGTGACTGACATTGAGTAGGTAGCATAGCACTTAATAAATATCTGATAAATGGATGAATAGATAATATGTGCATAAAAATGGGGTCACCATAGCCTTGGAGGAGAATGACTTAATCAAGATTGGCATAAGAAACAAAATACCGGTGCATTTGACAAACATTTCCAGAATATCTCCTCTGTCTCAGGCTATGTACTGGGAAATCTGGACCTGGGAGACAAGAGCCAGGACCTTCGTAATCAGCAGGACCCTGTCCCTGACCATGTGGCTCCTGTTGGAAGCCTCACTACCTTGAATCCCACCCTTTAGCAAGCCTAACTATGCACTGTGAATGAACAGGTTCCTGGGGGCCTCGTCTGATCCAGTTAGCAGCAGAATTAAGCTTTAAGAGAAAAATTAGTCCTTTTATTTTTCTCTTCTCTCCTTTTCTTTCATTTTTCTTTTCTTTGATCTCTTCTCCTTTCTTCTTTAAATAAAACCCATGCTGTTTCTGTGTTCACCCCCACTCTCATTTTTCTTTCTTAATTCATTTGGGATGCCCCAGATCTTACTTTTACTGTGTTTTATTTAAGGAAGCATTGGTGGGATCAGGGATAATGTATTTCCAAAGGGGGGTGTTAGTCTTTTAATCAATTACCCAGGATCCTCTCTCACTGACATACCCCACGTGGAGCATCCAGCAGAGGAGACAGTGGGTGAGCCAGGACACTGAAGAGTTGGGAAGGAATTAGTGTTAATTCCTACCAGACACCTCCCTGTGATGTTTCTCAGTCAATAAGAGATTAGATAGGTGAGAAGGTTTAAACATAGCCATGCCTCTTCTCATCACCTGCTAATCCATTCCCACACTAGGCCCTGGGGCAGAGGCCCTAGAAATGTATCTGCTGATGCACACAGAGCCCTCCAAAGGCCTTCTTTCCTTCTCCCGGACTTCCAGGAAAGCCGTGAGCAGCAAAGTCTTCTGGTGTTGTTTCCTGGCAAATGGATCCCTGGGAAATGTGGAAAGATCAGAAGCTGCTGCATGGTGTTACGGGGTTGGTGGGAGTGCAAGGTAAGAAAAGAGTGGGTGTATAGGATAAGATGAAGAGAGAGAGAAGGTAAGAAAGCCAGGGAGGTTCTTATCAGCATCTTATCACTACTCTGGTCTGCAGCCTCAGTGACTGTGGAAGACAGACTCTTGACTCCTGCCTCTGGGGCTTTTGGGGTTCATGTCCTTCTAGTATTCCCTCTCCTTCACTATGAATGGGACTTATCACTTGCTTCTAACCAATAAGTATATCAAAGGTGAACGGACTTCACTCCTGTGATACGTTATGTTGCATAAGGGCATGTTCCACTGGTGTACTCACACGAGACTGACTTTCTCAATCTTCCCTGCTGTTCTTTCTCTGTGGCTGGCTTTGAAGAAGCAAGTCCACAAATCCTGCGACTACAAGGAATTGAGTGTTGTCTGACAACCACATGAGGTTGAAAGGAGACCTCGTACAAGAACCCAGCTCTGACCGACAACTTGATAGCCACCTTTTGAGACTCTGATCAGAGGACCCTAAGTCATGCCTAGACTCCTGATGCACAGAAACTGTGAGATAATAATAAGTGGGTTGTTCTAAGCCACTAAGTGTGTCATAATTTGTTCTGTAGTGATAGAAACCAACAATGATAGAAAACTAATACTGTGGTCCCTTTTGCTTCCTGCTTTGAGCACTAGGGCATGAATGCTTCTATCTCCTTCCATTATCAAGGTGGTCTCTCCAGTAAAGGACACTAAACCTGTTCACATTGACATGTACTTGACCGACTACAGTTCAGGTTGCTACTCTCCCAACAGAGGCACCTGTACACCAGGGAGCCTTCACAGCTGCAGCTCCTTGCAAGACAGTTGATGGGTCTCTTCCTGCTATTCAGTTTAGATAACTTACTGTTTCTTGAATTATATTCCTCTTTTTAGGGAGTGGATTATGGTGGCACTTCTAATTTTTCTGTCTTTTTTTTCTTTTTCTTTTAAACTATTCTTTGCTTGACAGGCTTTCAAGGTCTGCTATTTCGGCTCCATTAGGGGAAGAATTACTTTCATTATCAACTTCAAAACCCCTCTCTCAAAGCACATCCCATTTAGGGCAGCGTGGCTTGCTCCAGGCTAGAGGCTTCCAACTCGCTACATACATTCCTAGTTAAAAGGCAGCACCAGGGCCACAGAGCCTCCTGGTAGATCCAAGCAGTATTCTGAGAAGAAGTAGGGATGAGCGTTGGTTGGGTGTCTGAGTGAGAACAGCTTTTACTTTTTCCACTTAATTTCTAGCAGCATGAGCTTCAGACAGATAGAATCAGAACTAAATTTTACTGTCAGTGAACTATTCGCAGGTTGTGAGCAAGTTATTTAACCTCTTTAGCCTGTTTTCCTTTTTAACAGGATTCTTGTGAAAATTGAATATGGTAATGTAGTAAAATTTCTCAGCACAGTGCCTAGCCCCTAGCTGTCATCCAATAAATGTTAATTTTTCCTCCTTTGTCTGTACAGAGGAGGGATGTGATTGAGAGGAAGGACAAAATGAAATTTCTCAGGGATGAAATGCTAAATCTCATGGCACTGTGGTTTCCTCCTTCTTCACTCTCTTTACCCCTGGTTTCCTCTCCTTTTTCCTCTTTCTCCCTCCCAATAAATGCAAAGTGCTTAGAGAACAGTGCCTGGTCGTAAATGCTATTTGTTGCCGTTGTTATTTTTACTGTAGTAGTCATCATCGTTGTCATGGCCATCATCAGTGTAATCATCTCCTTCCTTGCAGCTTATTCTCCTTTCTCCAGTAGAGGTGATCTTCCTGTACCTTTTCCTATAATGTCAAAGCTGGGAGCCGGTGTGAATTACACTTCCTGAACTCTCCTACCATCTGGCTTCTTGTTTGCTTTTGCCAACAAGGAGACACTGTTAGGGAGAGGAAAGTCTTGAATTTGTTCCATTTTCCTGCTTTTGGCTGTGTCTTCAGAAAGGGTTGCATCCTTTTACATAATCTAAGCTTTAGCCACAGCTTCTCTCTTTTTGGTGACCATAGCCTCAGCAGGGTGTCCCCTCTTCAGTTCTTTCAGTAGCACCCTCCTGCATGGCTCTAGCACTGACTAGGACCATCTCTCCTGGGCAGCTCCAGCTCTGACCCGCAGCATCCCAGCCCTGCTGTAGCAGGTACACTCCTGGGCTCTGCTAATGCCATCTCTCATCCCATGTTCCTCCAGCCCTGGGGTGGTTGCTACTCCCTGCAGTTAATCATCTCTGTGTTACCATGTTATCACACCTTCTTTTTGTATTTAGGCCTTGGCAGCATGTTGAAAACTAGTTTTTTATACTTCCTCTTTTCTTTTTGAAATACCTAATGTGGCTCCTGACTTCCTGTATGGACACTGACTCTTTTTTTTTTTTTTTTTTTCTGAAACGGAGCCTTGCCCTCTCACCCAGGCTAGAATGCAGTGGCGTGATTTTGGCTCACTGCAACCTCTGCCCCCCGGGTTCAAGTGATTCTCCTGCCTCAGCCTCCCTACTAGCTAGGATTACAGGCTCAGCTCAGCTAACTTTTGTATTCTTATAGAGACAGGGTTTCACCATATTGGTCAGGCTGGTCTTGAACTCTTGACCTCATGATCCGCCTGCCTCGGCCTCCCAAAGTGCTGGGATTACAGGCCTCAGCCACCACATCCGGCCTGGACACTGACTCCTACCTGTTATGGCCATGGGGAGAGAAATTACAAAGAATTTTGAATCAGAGCCTTTAAGGTTAACTACTTTCCAATGGCTTTCCAAGTTAGAACATCAGCAATGAAAACTGAAACCACTTCCAAACTCACCTTCTCAAGTTTACAGAAGGAGAAAGTGGAGTATATACCTCTCCCTTTTCCTTCTCTCTAAATTACTTTTGGATGTACATTGAGATCCCTGTAGCTGGTTGCTTAATCTACTTATCTCAGCATTGCTCTTCAGATGCCAAGAATCATTTAATTCATTCTTGAATTTTACATGATCTTTTATACTTTTCCTTCTCTTTCCCTATCTCAACATCTACCTCATCCTGTTCATCATTATCAAAATAATCTTCAAGGAAGGTTCTTCAACATCCAATAAGCTAGCTCCTGTAGTGACTTCTGAAAAGCTAATATTTACTGAATATTCTACTCCATGATTTAGGTAATATTTTTCCAATGAGAAAATCGTACTGTGGAAAAACTTTATCATCTGCCCATGATTACTGAGGTCGTAAGTAAAGGAAATTGGATTCTAAACCAATTCTGCCTGATTCCGAAACTCAGATATTTAATTATTATTCTACCATCCATCCACTTACCCATTTATCCATCCATCCATCCATCCATCCATCCATCCATCCATCCATCCATCCATCCAATAGAGAGTTCTATACATGCCAAGCACTGTGACACCCATGATAACTGAGAATCAGAAGGCCTAACCTATATTCCCTGAAACGTCACAGAGATAGTTACATCCAGAGCCAGCCCTGGCAGAGTGGGGACTAAGATTGGGATGGGGTGATGAGTGAGTGGTGGTAGAGGGCTGAGAAGACAGTAAATGGAGAGGAAGGCCATAGGTGTTGCTGGTCCCCTCTTTGTGCTCTCCGGAGATCTTCATCAGCAGCCTTCATAGGTCTCTTAGAAGACTGGAACTGAGAACATGCTCTATTTGATGTGGGACCAATGTTTTCTCACCTTTGGTCTCTCTCCCTCATGCTCTTTTGTTACAGTAACAGCAACAACAACAGTAAAATTAATAATCATGAACGGACTGTATAACTGCAAGCAAAAGGACTCTAAGAGGCTGCAGATGTAGGGTAAGGTATTCCAGCTTCCCACAAAGCTCATGTCTTTTTCCAAACTCAGTGGCTCATGCCTATAATGCTAGCAGTTTGGGAGGCTGAGGCAAGTGGATTGCTTGAGTCCAAGGGTTCAAGACCAACCTGGGCAACATAGAATTTGTCTCTACAAAACATAAAAAATAAACTTTTCTCTGGGCATGGTGGTACATGCTTGTGGTCTTAGCTACACTGGAGGCTGAGGTAGGAGGATCACTTGAGCCCAGGAGATCAAGGCTGTAGTGAGCAGTGATTGTGCCACTGAGCTTTAGCCTGGGTGACAGAGCAGGCCCCTGTCTCCAAAGAAAATACCTCCCCAAAACTGTCTTTTGATGACCAATTTTCTCATTGTCCCCAGTCCTCCATCTCAAGGGGTGTCTCCTTCTCTGTCTGGTTGGTTTTTACTGCCTTTGAGTGTGGAAGAAGTTTTTGGTCTATATCAGGCTCTCAGGATTGATCTTCTGAATATATCTTTCTTTCTTATTCTCTCCTTTTTTCTTCTCTCTCTCTTTTTTTTCCTGTTTCTCTCATGGTTTCTGTGTCTCTCTGTCTCTGTCTCTATCTGTTATAATGGCTTAAAATAACAGAGACTCTGACTCAAACTGGTACAAACAATAAGAAAATTTATTTCAGGCAAAGAAAAGTTCACATATAGGAAGCTTCCAGGGTTAGTTGATTCATTAAGTCAACCATATGATCTAGGACCCAGGTTCTTCTGTGCTCTTCTATTTTCAGGATCTTTTGACTGATTTGGACTGATTAAAAATAGCCACTCAGGAGAAAAACAGGGCTAGAGCCTGTGCTGCCATTTTCTTCTCCACCTCCTGCTCCTGCCTCTGTCCCTGCCTTCCTCCTCTTCCTCCTCTTTCTTCTCTTTCTTCGAAAACAGAAAGTTTGTCCAGAAGCACCACAATATTCCTCTCTTATACCATTGGCTAGAATCAGACCTAATGTTCATACCCTAGTGGATCTCTGTCACGGGGGGATAGAATTATCACGATTGGCCTATGCTGTGTGGTGTAAAGGATGATGTGGTGTCCACTGTTGAGAACCATGAAGTATCTGAGATTTCACCTTACTGCTATAGTTTCCCAGATTCTGGCAGGTGACATGAGCCTCCTGAATCAGAGACAAAGCGACCCAATTGCTCCCAGTACAGCGGGCAGCCTGAGCTGCAGGTCTGCATTAGCTACCCCTGCCTCCACAGTTGCACAGGGGCAGCATGGAGGGGTCACAGATTAGGAACTGCAAGCTTGAGGAACTCAAATCTTTTATAACATGTGCAAGAAAATCTTCTGTGAGACAGCGTAAAACAATCTAAATGATGTATGTGTAGAATTTCAGAAGGAGGGAAACTAGAAAAGCGTTTGAAGGAGTCATGGTTAAAAATTTTTCACATTTGATGAGAATGATACAGAATCAAAAAACTCAATGAATCATGAGTAGTGAGTAGAGAAATTTGAAGAAAATCATGTAAATACACATCAGAGTTAAATATCTGAAAAAACTGATCTGAAGATAAAGACAAAATGAAAGCAGCTGGGGAGGGGACACATCGCATACAGGGGAACAAATTTAACAATCCCAGCAGACTTCTTCTCAAAGTGTATGCAGACTAGAGGACATTGAGGTGATATACTTAAAGGATTGAACAGAAAATATGGTTTCTACAGTGAAAATATTTTTCAAAAATTAAAAAGAAAACTGTTTGGAAAAGTACAAGCTGGGACAATTTACAAAAAGTTGCATTACAGGAAACTTTAGGCTCTTTAGGCATAAGAAAAATGATATCAGATAGGATTTGCAGTCTACAAAAAGGAATAAATACCACCAGAAGTGGTGACTATTGGAATAAATGTGAAATACTTTTTTCCTCATTTTTGTAATCACTTTAAAACTTAATTGACTGTTTCAAGCAAAGATGTTTACAACATATTATGGGGTTTATCACATTAGAAGAAAATGATAAAACAATACTAGGACAAGGGATGCGAAGAGGGAAAAGAAATTGCAATGATATATAATGCTTATGCTATTCATGAAGTTGTATAATGTCGTTTGAAGGAAGACTGTGATTAAAGTTGTATATTGTAAACTTGAGAGCCACAGCTAAACAGAAACAAAACAAAAACAAAAGTATAGTGATTAAGCCAATATTGGAAACAAAATGAAATACTAAAGTATACTTAATTAATTCAAAATAAGGTAGTAAAAGAGGAAAAAATAATAAGATAGAATAAAAAGAAAACAAATATTCAATATAGTGGTTTAAATCCCAACCACATTGATAATTACATTGTATCAAAATGTTATAACACTCCAGAGATGGTCAGATTGGATGAAAAAGCAAGACCTGACTCTGTTTTTTGTAATAAATCCCTTAGATATAAAGACGCAGATAAGCCAAAAGTAAAAGGATAGAATACATACTATCGGAACACTTATCGAAGTACCAGAGTGTTCTTTATCCTTTAGTTACATGCGATATCTCAGTGAATATTTAAACCAATTTATAATAAACAAGTCATTTTAAAGAAGAAGAAACTTCAAAGTCAATGCTCTTATCTACTAGATAAGACTGCAGATTCTTGGAAGGTAGAAATAATATTTTACTTTTGTTTATATCTATTGCATTTGTATATCTACAGCATGAGGTCTGACTCATGATACATGGGTGATAATTACATTTAAAAAGAATAAGTAAATGCATGATTGGATGGGTGGATGAATAAATGAAGGAATGAATGCACCTTAAGAGGCAGTAATGCCTCATCATCCCCCTTGTAGTGTGTGCACTGAACAGACCAGTTAGAAAATGACAACAGGCCAGGCGCATTGGCTCGTGCCTGTAATCCTGGCACTTGGGGAGGCTGGGGCGGGTGGATCATGAGGTCAGGAGTTCGAGACCAGCCTGGCCAACATGGTGAAACCCCATCTCTACTAAAAATATAAAAATTAGCCGGACATGGTGGCAGGTGCCTGTAGTCCCAGGTTCTCGGGAGGCTGAGGTAGGAGAATCGCTTGAACCCGGGAGGCAGAGGTTGCAATGAGCCAAGATCATGCCACTGCACTCCAGCCTGGGTGACAGAGTGAGACTCCGTCTCAAGGAAAAAAAAAAAAAAAAGAGAAACATTTCCATCAGCAGGTAATGTTACACATCAGTGACCAAGATGGGAATTTGAGTGCTTTGGTGCAGGAAGCAGGGCTGAAGTTGGTTTCTGGAACCAAGCAGGGGGCTCCTCTGAGGCCTAGGGTGAGCATTGGGCTAGACAGTGAATAAAACCTAGTAAAGCCTTAACATAAATCCTCTTCCTTTCAAGTCTTCCCCCTCATTGGCTCTGAGTACAAACAGAATACTCCACCTCCTACAATTCCCTATAGGATATCCTGTCTAAAAGCAGTGTCTGGTCAGTTGAAAATAATATCTTAGTGAGTTATTATATATTGAAGTGCTGCCAAAGAAGTATGTCATTACATCTATCTTGCAATTTTAGAGCATAAGGACAATGTGCTTGAGTTGTTAGCATGATCAGCTCATCAGTCATTCACAGTGCATTCAATAGACCAGTAGCGCTGCGCTTATCACGGTGTATTGCATTTATTTGTTTTAAAATTTCATTCTTATGATTCTTTGGACGTAAGTTATAAATATCCTCTGGGGTCTGCTAAAGCAAAAAAAAAAGATACAGGGATTGGGGGATTTCATTATAAAAATACATAAGTATCTCATGTAAGCTACCCAAGAAGAAGAAAACAGCTGGGCCTTAGGACAGAATTGGAGCCAGAATCTGGAAAGACATGAGGACAATCTCCCTAGCTCATATGTTAGTTTTCTTTGAAGAATTCCTCCCTATTCTACTGAAGGCTATTTTTTTCTTTCTACTCATTACACATTCGAAGTTGTTGATGTCCGTCCAATAGAATCTTCAGTTAACATTTTCTACAATAATAGATCAGGTGTAACCAGAATATCTTTAACCAAATTTGAAATCTCTGGAAGAAATACTCAAATTAACTCATCTTGATTCAATATAAAGTCATTTAGCAGAATCAAAAGTGTCACTCTCTTGGGCGACAGAAGTAGTTAAGGTATCATTTTTTAACTTGAATAAATATTCCAAAAGGTATAAGCTTCCTGAGAGCAGGAATTCTCATTCAGCGTCATGTATCTTGGCGTACTGCCTGGCACACAGTAAGTAGTTGGATTTTAACTTAAATCTGATTCCAAAACCCTGAAGTACCTTCTGCCTGAATTACTCTTTTTTTTTTTAATCTGTGCATAACTGCTTTATTTCCCCTCTGTAGCAGTCAGTGTAGCTAAGTTACACTGCGCTAACAACTGAATCCCCAGATTTTCATGGCTTAGAACAGCAATTCTTACAGCAGCAACAGTATCACCTGGGGACCTGTCAGAAATGCAGGGTCTTGGTCTCCACCCCAGACTTACTGATGAGAAACTCTAAGGATGGGGCCCATCAATCTGCTTTACCAAGCCTTCTGGGTGTTTCTGATATGCACTAATTTCATCACCTCGGATGATAAAGGTGTATTTCTCATTCACCTTTCAAGAGCACTATGTGGCGGTCTACATTATCCTTACTTTACCAGCATATGGAGCAGTCCCTAATTAGGACAGAAAATAAAGACATGGCAAACCCAGGGCTAGTTCTTAAAACTTGGCTGAGAAGTTACATCGTCATTTCTGCTCATATTCAATTGTCTTCAGCAAATCTAATGTGAATGGGACAGAAACAGAATTCTGTCACACAGAGAAGATATACATAGGAGGGAAATTGGACTATTAGTTTTATTTTATCTCTCTTTACATTTATGAATGACAGAAATGCTTTGACAAACATTTTTAAAGGTCATGAAATCGTATTTTTTTCCAGGGTTAAGACTGCTTTCTTCAGCGTGTGTGGTCATGGCCCTGCACTGCTGTGTATAATGAGGACGGCCTGTATTCAGAATAGGAATAAGACCTACCCCGTAATTTCTCCTGTCTCTGTTCAAACCTGCCTTCTTAGAAAAGTTTTCCCACAACTGCCTTATTTAATAGAGTTCTGTCCTCATGCCCTGCCACCCTCTCACATTACCCTATTTCATTTTCCTCACAGCACTCACATCTAGCTGAAGCTATTTTATTAGTTTAATTGTTCTGAAATTTATTACCACATAAGCTCCATCAAAATAGATATTTTGTCTAACTTTTTCATGGTTTTATCCCCAGAGCTTAGAACAGTGTCTCACACAAAAATGTTCACTAAACATTTTTGGATATGAATTTGTTGATGTCCCCCGAGATGGAGCAACTAAACTCTCCCTGCTATTTAAAATGGAGTTGGGTCCTGTCCTGACTCTGTGCCAGGAGCTGGGGAAGGCAGATAAGGAGGCCTCCAACCTGATGCCCACACACAGGGCCCAATATGGATTCGTGACTGCTAGGCGAGGAATTCAGTTTATTTAGGGAAGCTGGGAGCTTTCAGCTCATGTTTCTGCCCTAGCTTCTTCCTTCCCTACTTGAAGTACACTCAGCGTTTTGAATGAGGCTTCTCCTACCCCTTCTAATGAGAGAGATCAATTCTCCTGGAGAAATGCCTTATTCTCATCTCTAGAAAGAAGAGCATTTGGTGAGATTTGACTCCTCATTGCAGAGAATATAACATGGTTAAGAGAAACTAGGAGTTAATTAGCCCCTTCTTTCCTCCAAAAATTGTGATAGGATATTGTGGGCATTGAAGATTAATTGCTCTATTATTACAACTATTGCTCACCTATTTTACAACATACTCTATACATATATATGTTTCTTAGTAATTGCAACAATCTCATGAAAAAAGTATACATATAACCATTTTCAGAAAAGAGCACTTAGGTTCAGAAGGTTTAAGTGATTTACCCAAAGCTGTCTAGGTAGAGTTAGGATTCAAACTAAAATGCCTAGATTCCAATTCCAGGAATTTTATATTTTTACATACTTCATAGATGTTTCAAGAAAGACAAATGGCTTGTATGTGGAGGGGGTCAGTTTCTCCCTTCAAAGAATGAGAAAGCCCTGCCTGACAAAATTCTGTGTTCAATAAATCACAACCAGAATAGTTCTAAGATTTATATATTGTGTCTTTGTCCTTTCTGCTATGAAGTTATCTTATTTTCCTCAGTAGCTAATGACATTCCCTTTTACACATTCAGGAAGCTGAAATTCACAGACACAAAGTAATTGAGGTTCAAAGCTTAGAAGAGTAGAGATTGGGCCAAAACAACCCAAGTTTGAATTACAGCTTCACCACTTAGGGGCTTTGTGGGTTTGGACAATTCACTTGGCCCTTCCTAGAGTCTTCTTCCTCCATACTGCATGCCTCTGAAGGCATAGGTCTTACACCTCACTGCTGAGCATGCCTGAACGTTCTGAGGTCTTTGTGACATATCCTACTAGTTACCTGGAACGTCCATTCCTCCTGCACTCCAAGTCCTTCTTGACTAATAGAATCCAATTTTGTGCAGGCACCAGGTAGGAAGCTTCACCACCATCTCCTCAGAATGAGTCATGGTTGGTCTAAGCCAAAAGTGGAAATTGACTTCCTCTTGGACTGATACTGCTTTGGGGGTAGTCATATGATCAACTTCTGAACAACGAGATGAAAGAGGAAAGTTGCTGGAGACTACCCTGTTAAAAGACAACAAACGGTGGTTAGAGAATTATTTCTGCGGCTGCCCTCCTTCCTTCTTGATTGGGTTGTGTCATTAATGTATTTGAAAAATACTTACTGAGTTCACACTGTGTGCCAGAAACTAAAATAGGATCTCTAGAAAAGTAGTAAACAGAACAGACAAAATCCCTACCCTAATGGAACTTATAATGGAGGAAGGTAGATGATAATCTAGTTTCAAAAATTAACCTGTAGTGGTGAGAAGCAATATGAAGAAAAGTTAAGCAGAATGGGAAGATAGCGATGAGGTGCTGTTTTATACAGTGTGACCAGAGAAGACCTCTTTAATCGGGTTAACCTTGAGTAAAGAGTGAAAAGAGGTGAGGGAGCAGATATCTTGTGTAAGAAAATTCCAGGCGAGAGAGTAATAAGGGCAAAGTCCTTCAGGCAGTAGAATGATTGGCATGTTGGAGAAATTAAAAAGGTATCTGAGTGACTGGAGCAGGGTAAGCCAGTGCCAAACTTTTGGACCATGACCCACAGTGAGAAATAAATCTTATATTCTAACCAAGTACACACACACATGCCCTCACACACACTGAATTCAAAGTTTCACAAAAGAACCCACCTTTACTGTGTGTAATGCACTGTGATAGTGTCTCTTATATTTTATTCTATTTCATTAAAATGTCCTGGTCATTACTATCTAAATTGACTATATAACATTCTAGTAGGTCAGATCCCACAGTTATACTGAGTTTGGGTGAGAGTGATAGGAATTAAGATCAAAGAGGTAATGGGAGGCCAGAGAACAGACTTCTTGGATTCTGCAAGCAAGCTGAATAAGTAGGAGGGCTATTAGAACATTTACAGTTAAGGAACGATTTGAATTTTAAAAAAAATGACTCTGATTGCTCTTTGGAGAATGTAATATAGGGGAGCAAAGGTGGAAATACAGAGAAAAGTAAGATGCTATTTTGATAGCTCATGTAAGAGATGATGGGGGCTTAGACCATCATCTTAAAGGGGTAGGTTGAGAGATACTAAGAAGTGGACTGATACTAGATTTATCTCAAAGATCCAACAGGATTTTCTGATGGCTTGGATGTAGGCTGATAAAGGTAAAGAAAAAGGATGATTCCAATGTTTTAGACCTGAGCAACTGGAAGAACAGAGCTGCTGTTTAATGAGAAGAGTCAGACTGAGGACAAATTAGGCTTCGGAAAGGGAGTGAAACTTAAAAGTTCAGTTTGGGACATGTGAACTTTGGAGACATCTAAGTGTAGATGTCAAAAAGTCAGTTTTATATTCAGGTTTGAAATTTAATGCTGGAGAAATACATTTTGATAGGTTTATAAATGGTGTTTAAAGCTCTCCTGGATAATATTACCTAGGGGTTGTGAAGCAAATACAGTAAAATGATGCTTAAATCTTGAGCCTTGAGGCACATAAAATTTGGATGTTGACAAGTGAGGAGAAACCAGAAGAGAGGACAGAGATGGAGTGACCATAAAGGTGAAAGGGGGACCAAGAGTGAGCGGAGTCCTGGCAGCAAAGTCAGAAGGTGTTTCTCAAAGGATGGGTCATCCTGTTTATGAGGTGCTGTTTATGGGTTGAGTAAGGGCTGAGAATTGACTGTTGAATTAGGCAATGTGGAGGTCACAGGTGACTTTCAAAGAAGCATTTCAGTGGGTTGGTGCAGGAAATGGCCCTATTGGATTGGGTTCCAGGAAGAATGGCAGGAGATAAAGGAGAGACAGAGGGTATGGGAAATTATTTTAAAGAGTCTTGCTGTAAAGGGGAACAGAAATGGGATGCGAGCTGTTAAGTGAGAATGTCATACTTGCAGTGTGGCCCTTTCTTTCAATAACAGTAGAGAGGCCAAGCAACCTTCGGAGACTTTGGACAGGGACCAATCTATGGGGTGTGACTTCATTAAGTAAACAGTAACTATTACACTTTAGGCTGTCAGTCAAGCAATCTATTACTTGTAGCCAAATGCATCCTAGCAGCAACTAAGTATATGTTTTCATCAAACTTCAGATTCCTGGCAACATGGCAGTGCAGTTTGAAGTGTGGGCATTGGTGTGAGTTCCTGAGGGGCTGCTTACCAGCTGTGTGTGTTCCAGGGGGAGTTATTTAACATATGGAAGCCTCAGTTTCATCATCTAAACAATTGGTATTACAATTGTTTTGAATCCATAGGTGTTACAGTCTGAATGTGTCCCCCAGTATTCCTGTGTTGGGAAGCTAATCCCTAATTCAACAGCATTGGTTTTTAAGGCTTTTGGGGAGGTGTTTAGGTCATGAGGGCTGAGCCCCCATGAATAGATTAATGCCACTATAAAAAGGGAGGGAGTGGGTTCACTCTCTCTTGCTCTTCCACCTTCGGCATGTAAGGATACAATAGTAAGGCCTATACCAG
Source organism: Homo sapiens (assembly GCF_000001405.40). Taxonomy (NCBI): domain Eukaryota; kingdom Metazoa; phylum Chordata; class Mammalia; order Primates; family Hominidae; genus Homo; species Homo sapiens. The sequence goes on from NC_000022.11 coordinate 34,297,179, forward strand.
ATACCACTGGCTCGAGCTTGGATTTCCCAGCATCCAGAACAGTGAGAGAATAAATTTCTGTTCTTTATAAATTGCCCAGTCTCCAGTATTATGTGATAGCAGCACAAAACAGACTTAAGACATTAGGGTTAATTAGTGGAAGAAATGAGATAATTCATAGAGGCACTTAACATAGTGCTTTGGACGTTGTAATTGTTTAATAAATAAGTAATTAGCATTACTTTCCATACTCTGATTTTGTAGCTTTGAATCTTCATTCAACATCTCTGGTTTAAAAAAAATCCCTTCTGTACCCTAGTCTTTGAAAACCTACAAAAGCTCGACTACTCCATCATCCCCAGTAGACCAGAGACCTCCACCAAAAAGCGTCTTTGCATAAACCTCTAGATTAGGGGTCAGAGCCCAGAAGAAGAACTGCTGAGCTCTGAGTCCTGGACTTTTTTCCTACTAGAACAGTAGGGCAGCCCAGTTCTTCTCACAGCTGTCTCTCCCTCCCTCCCCTGGCCTGCTCTCCTTTTGATAGAGTTATTCAGTTGTTCATCATGTCACAGTGGCCACCAGAATATCTGAGTTCTCTGTGAGCCTCCTAAGTGTATTTACTGCTGAGCCATGCTGCCTCAGAACAATTAAATCAAATGACAGTTGTCAAAAATGTTGGCAGTTTTCTGGCTTGTGAATGCCAGATTCCACTCCCTTTGTAGGTTGGCACCTGGAAAAAATAATGACCTGCCTGGCTCCCTGCCTCATATTTCTCTGATCTCCTGCAGCACAGGCCATTTAGTCCCCAAAGCAGGCCTGGCTTGCCTCAGGCTCTGAAACTAACTAGCTTCTTAATCAGAAAGGAAAAAAAAAAATCCTTGGATATATAACCTGCCTGAGGATCTCATCATGACCTGTACTCCAGTCTCCTAGTGAGCCAGGCTCTTGTTTCTTCTGGTCCAGGAATTCTGGTTCTTATTCCAGTTTGACTCTGTGTCATCATCCTAATCCTGAATCCCTTCTCAGCTTTTCCATTCTTCTTTCTGCAACTGGGGCCACCTGACTTTTATATTAGGCTCAGACTTTCCCTTACTTTGATCTGAGCTAGGAAAGGTACCAGATTTTTTGAGCCTAGGCATTGCTTTAGAGACTTTATGTGTTTTATTCCTTTTATTTACCATGTCAATTATCTGAGGAAGGTCAAGGCATGTAGGACCGATGACTTTCCTGAGGCCACACAAATAGAAGGCTTCTGTGAGCACCACTGTAGGTTTTTAGGGTGTAAGGTGCACCCACAGGGTTCAACTCTCCCTCTTTTGCTTTCCTTTTCCTCTTCACTCAGACGTTCTTCATCTGATAGGTAAATTCTGGAAATCTGATTCCACTTGGTATACCAGAGGTAAGGATGATTATATGTACAAGGGTAGCCCTAAGATAATGACAGTTTCTCCCTCTCTCTCCCTCCCTCTCTGTCTCTCTCCCTCTCTCTTTTCTTTCTGTCCTTCTCTGTCTCTCTTATTCAAACTTAAATGTTGTCATTCTTTCAGTCATGAGCAGAACAGCCATCTGGTGGTAACTGGGGTTTTGGTCTATGGAATTGGAGTGGATCCCTCTTTCCAAGGCTTCAGGTGAATTCTGCTTTCTTTTCTGTTAAATTTACCAGAGAGCTCTTCATGTGGTTTTTGGGCAGAAGCTCAACTAATAGTAACATTTTGCTGAGTTTTCCCATTTGTCATTGTCCCTTGTGAGTATCTCTTCCTTGGGAAGAAGCCAGCATGGCTCGATCTGAGTATTCGTTGGGTTTCAAAGACCAAACCTTATGATGAATCCGTGAACATCATGTCCGTTAGGCTTCAAACCCAGTGCTCAGAATGTACAAAACTAAGTATAACACAAGGCATTAAATGCAGTAATAAAGGCCTTTTCCACCACCTGACAAAGCCCCAGTCCCCAGTTCTAAAGGGATCTCCTATGTATGATAAAATGCTAAGCATTTGCTCAAACATGCTTTAATCTTTGAAAGAAAATTCTGTCTGCAAACTTCCTCTGGATATTCTACAACAGCTTCAAATTTCTTACGTTTGGCTGAGTAAAATACCATTGCTTCAATAATGGGAAATACAAGTGCTTTTCAAAGGAATGTACTATATAAGAACTGTTCTTTTAATTTTTTTTTAATTCTAATAGTTGACTTTTAATATCCAATGTTTGAATTTGTAGTTAGGGGTTTCTTTATGTTAGGCCAATACATTTCTGTAGCAGGAAAGAAAAGAGAGAGCTTAGGTTTAGTAAAAGAACAATAAAATATCTTTGAGAAGTTGTTCTGTATTGCGTTGGTTGTATGGAGAAAGAGGAAGCCATAAATTTGAAAGAGGTTATGCTGCATCTTAAAGACATCTGCCTTTGCAGAGCCTGAGGAATTGGCCATCCATACTGAGATTCCCTTGCAGATTTGGCTCTGAGCTAACCCTCCACAATGCTCATGTTGATTTATCCAATCCACCATTCCTGTGCACTCCATGACACCCTGAGCACTTGCTTTTCTGCACCCCATCCATCAAACTCAATTTCCTAAGGGATTTAGGATAAACTCTGTTCCAGCCAGTTGCTCATCCTGATTCTAGGATGGAGATTCTGGCCTGAGTCCAGATCCTGCTGCCTTTCATAGACTAGAAAAGAAAGTACCGTGGGAAGAATATAGGGTGTGGAGGAAGATTTTAGTTGTATCTCAGCCCTTCTAGTCCATGATTTTGAGTAGGGGATTATTTACGGTAATATTAGGTGCCATAACAAGTACAGCTCCCAAACCCCAACTCTAAATGACTTAGTAGATGCAGTAGACACTGATTTCATGTTCACAAAACAGTTTGCTCTTTGTGCTCCCTGTTATTGGGTGGTCTCCTATGTTGTGATTCAGGGACTCAGGTTCTGCCCATGTTTGGAGCTGCATCCTCTCCTGTACCCTGTACCCCAGGCCTCTTCAGCTTGCATATGGGTAGAGGATGGAAAAGGTACAACCACATCTTAACCAACTCGACCTAGAGGTGACACACATTCCATAAGCAAGAGCATGTCACAGGGCCCCAATGAGAGGGAAGGTAAACTTGAAATGTTATCTTTGGCTGTTCACTTACTTTTAAATAATAACCTATTGAGATAACAGCAATCTTTGGTGGGTGTTTGGATGTCTCTGATGGTCTCTAAGCCTCCATTTTCTTTTCTTTTCTCTTTCTTTCATTCTTTGCTTTCGTTCTTTCCTTTCCCTTCCTTTCCCTTTCTTTCCCTTTCTTTGTTTCCCTTCCTTTCCCTTTCTTTCCCTTTCTTTCTTCCCCTTCCTTTCCCTTTCTTCCCCTTCCTTTCCCTTCCCTTCCTTCCTTCTTCAGATGGAGTCTCACTCTGTCACCCAGGCTGGAGTGCAATGACATGATCTCAGCTCACTGCAACCTCCACCTCCTGGGTTCAAGTGATTCTTCTGTCTCAGCCTCCCTGGTAGCTGAGATTACAGGTGCCTGCCACCACGCCCAGCTAATTTTTGTATTTTTAGTAGAGATGGGATTTCATCATGTTGGTCAGGCTGGTCTCAGACTCCTGACCTCAGGTGATCCACCCTCTTTGGCCTCCCAGAGTGCTGGGATTACAGGCATGAGCCACCATGCCTGGCCAAAGCCTCCATTTTCTTACCTGAGAAATGTGAAATACATTATCCAAGGTCACACAGTTGATAAATGATGAAGTTAAGAATAAAAGCAATATATCTCTGCTCCCATTCCACTTGGTTCCTACTGCACCTCACAACATCATCATAAGTAATATGATGCTTAGAAAGGCAATTGTGAGTTGACCAACATCCAGCTCTCTCTATACAAAACAAAAGATAATGGAGTTTCATAGTTGGTTGAATGGTAGCTTCCCCAAATTCATATCCATCCAGAATCTTAAAATACGACCTTTCTTGGAACTAGGGTTTTTGCAGATATATTTAATTAAGGTGAGACCTTCCTGGGTTTAGGGTGGGCCCATACATCTGGTGACTGGTATCCTTATAAGAAGAGGAGAGAACTCAGAGGGAAGAAGGCTGCATCAAGACAGAAACAGGGGTTAGAGTCATGTTGCCACAAGCCAGGAAATTCCAGGACCCACAATCAGTTGGAAGAGGCAGGAAAAAAAATATCCTCCTCCAGAGCCTTGAGAGGGAGGGAGTATGACCCTGCTAATATCTTAATTTTGGACTTCTGGTTTCCAGAAGTTGCAGATAACACATTTCTGCCATGTTCAGCCACCAAGTTTGTGCTAACTTCTTGTATCAGCCCTAGGAAACTAATACCAGCTCTCCCCAGAAACAAATGGGGGAATCTTCCACCTCACTCAATGGAGAGTGGGGAAAAGGGATTCTCTAAAGCAGAAGGCTTTGTCCTCAGGCCAAGAAAGAACAGCATATATGCTCAATCTGTGATAATACATGTCTATTTCTGTGAACCTCAGAATCAAATGAGGAGTTGGTTTTAGTAGGCACCACAGATTTGAGAGCCAATCCATTCTTTAGGCCCTTGGATCCAGCACCTTCAGCATGTCTTTGTACTATAGCACTTCTACAGTAGCTGAAATTACACACCCTTGTGGTCAGACCTGGTTTCCAATCCCAGTTCTGTCATCAGCTGTCTATGTGAGCTGGGTCAGCCACTTAATTCCCTCACAAAGTCACACAAAATCTACCCCTTCCTTGTAGAATTAAATAATGCAAAATGCACACAAAGTAGCATTCATAGTGTTTGTTCATAGTAGGCACTCAAATGAATGAAAACTACTAGCCTCTTTTCTGTCCTTACCACTTATCTGGGACCCAGAGTTTAGCTCTAAGTTTGCTCACTGCCTATTTTCAATACCTTTTTGGATTGTAAACTCCATATAGTGAAGGAATGTGTCTATCTAGGTCACGATTATATCTGTAGCACCTGACAATATTGGTAGGATAAATAATTGAATTTACCTTGTCCCTGGTCTAAGTTCTTTGAGAGTAGGGGCCTCATTCTTTTATTTATTTTGTATTCTCTACAGGGCTTTCTTAAGTCTGGACAAAAAAAATATGCTCACTGAGTATTATTTTGATTGAATTATAATGAGCATAAGTGAGAATGGAAGAAAAGGTCTTTGGGTCCAAAAAGAGAAGAGCTTGAGATGAATGCATTTTGGGTGTTTTAATTGTTGAGGACTGCTGGTTCCCAGAATCATAGTGTTTCATTATCTTTTTAACTCGTACATATATAGATTTATGAGACTCTGTTTCAAGGAATGTATTCAGGATCACTGATTCCAATGAGACTGTGAAACACAAACCATTTTCTCTTTGGAAGAACAGATTAAAAAGTCAGTGCTTTTAAAGTGAGTAAAATAATACTTCTCTCTCTCTTTGTTTCTGTCTCTCCTTTTTCTTTTTGAAAACTCTCTGGGAAAAAGAGTCCCAGAACTTGAAATTTGCTGGGACAGTATGAGCATTGCAGCATGCACTGTCCCCAGAATCTCCAGCTCTGACTCCCTCTCCCCTGGATGGCCTGCTAGTCACCCCATGTCTGTCCTTCCCACTGGGACACATGTTCCTGTCCACCCTATGTGCCCCACTGGGTACTGTGGAAAAGTCTGCAGTGTAAGGGGGCTGCTGACTGAAAGCCATTAGTAGGGAGAGGATTGAAGCTCCCTCATGGGGCTAAACAGGCAGATCTGGGGCTAGTGAAAATATCTGAGTTGATGTGAATTGAGATTTGTCTCAATAGCACTTTCCCAGCTTCAAAAGAGTAATACGTTAGAAACCATGAGATGCTGAACATTTTACACCACCTCTTTCATTTAATCCTCATAATCACCTACTGAATTAGGTACCATCACTATTATCATTCTTAGCTTTTTACAAATGGGAACCTGGAGCTCAGAGAGGGTAAGGAACATGTTCAATGTTGAACAGAGCAGAAAGGCAAAGACAGACCTTCAGCCTAAGTGTTGCTGTACTGTGGTCCCTGAGAAGAAGAATAGGGCACCTCATTGCCCCAGAGGCCCAAATACAAATGTTTTCACATCGAATGCAATGGTTAAAGCGAAGGAATAAAAGAGATTGCCATCAGAGTGTCCCAATAGCATTGGAGTAAGGAATAAATCACCCCCAGTCAGTGGGGATTTGGCTAATAACTTCGCCTCTTTACTTCCTTATTGACCACAAGGTTGCTCTAAGATGTCCCCATTTGAAGTTAAACACATTTGCCATTAACTATCTTTAGTGTCTTCCCCTCAGCTCTCTGGTTCCTGCATCTGAAGCCACGGTGACCTCATGTATGACTGCAATAAGGGGAGATTCAAACAGTCAAAGTTGAAACTTCAGGAAACTCAGCTGCAAGGTTTTCTCTCATACCAGCTTGGACTTAAAGTTCTGGGACGCTGACTTCTAACTGAGTCTTCTTAGTCTTAGTTGTCCCAGCAGAGTTGCCCATGATACAGTTTAAATAATTCTGGGATGAGATCCTCAAACAACTGATTTTGGCTGCCTTCGCTGATGATTTTTCAGCTGGGTCAAGACTTGTCACTGGCCACATTCAAATCCCTCTGCAAGCTATCAGTTCGTCTTCCCTACAGTACAGAATGTAGAGTAAGGACTCAGCCCATTCTGTGAGAGGGAGCTGACCTTACTTCAGGCTGTTAATATCTGAAATACAGCTTTAGTGTTAAAATAGAACAGACCTCTTGAGTCTTATCTGGGTTAGAAGTGTTTAAGCTTATCTTAGAGAAAAGACATTGCCCCACTTTTCTTGCCAGAGATCTCTGCGTTGGAAGTTTTGCCCTAGGTCTCAGCTCATGAAATCAAGGGCTACTTTGCCTTTGATTTTCTGGGCATTGTCCTGTGCATATTTCTCCATCAAGGGCTTAGCAAAGTGATTATTGATCATGAGCAAGAATTAGAAAGTCAGCATTGAGACAGAATTAAGAACATGAGTTCTGGAGCTGGGCCATCTAGGTATAAATCCCCTAGTGTTATTACTCATTAACTGTGTGATCTCAGTTTTTTCATATGTAAAATGCAGATAATATGAGTGTCTACCTCAAAGAATACTAATACCTTTTGCATGTTTTTTTTTTGTGAGGATTAGATGAGTTATTTATGTAAAATGTATTTAGAGGAGGGTTTGGCAAATGGTAAATAGTCAACAAATGTTAACAGATTATTATTGTGGGCATGATGTAATTTCTAAAGTGGACTTAGAATTCAAATTTGACCTGATTAATAACTTGTTTGCACTCATGTGCTGTTTAACATTTACAGAGTAATTTAACCTCTCTGAGCCCCCAGTTCTCCTCACTTACAAAATGAGGCTAAATGTCACTCCCTTGCTGCACTTTCTCCCTTTCATCATGCCTTTGAGTTTGTTCTTCATTATCTTCCCTCCTAGCTAAACTGTGCCTTCAGGATATCCTGAGAGTGACGCTGTAAACAACAACAACCACAACAAAAGCAAGAGAAAAAAATAACAAAACCCTGTGCCTTCAGGAAATACTAAGCTGACACCAGAGTGTGAAGCTCTCAACTTCCTCTCCCAGACTCCTTTATGTCAGAGATGTGTGAACCAGAGCAACTCCATCTTGAATAGGAGCTGGGTAAAATAAGTCTGAGACCTACTGGGCTACATTCCCAGACAGTTAAGGCATTCTAAGTCACAGGATGAGATACAAGGTTGGCACAAGATACAGGTAATAAAGACCTTGCTGATAAAACAGGTTGCAGTAAAGAAGCTGACTCTAACCCACTGAAACCAAGATGGCAATGAGAGTGACCTCTGGCTGTCCTCACTGCTATACTCCCATCAGTGCCATGGCAGTTTACAAATGCCATGACAACATCAGGAAGTTACCCTATATGGTCTAAAAAGGGGAGACATGAATAATCCACTCCTTGTTTAGCATACACTCCAGAAATAACCATAAAAATGGGCAACCAGCTGCCCTCAGGGCTGCTCTGCCTATGGAGTAGCCATTTTTTTTTTTTTTGAGACGGAGTCTCACCGTTGCCCAGGTTGGAGTGCAGTGGCGCGATCTTGGCTCACTGCAGGCTCCGCCCCCCAGGGTTCACACCATTCTCCTGCCTCAGCCTCCCGAGTAGCTGGGACTACAGGCGTCCGCCACCTTGCCCGGATAATTTTTTTTGTATTTTTAGTAGAGACAGGGTTTCACCGTGTTAGCCAGGATGGTCTCGATCTCCTGACCTTGTAATCCGCCCGCCTCGGCCTCCCAAAGTGTTGGGATTACAGGTGTGAGCCACCGCACCCGGCCCCATTCTTTTATTCCTTCACTTTCCTAATAAACCTGTTTTCACTTTACTTTATGGACTTGCCTTGAATTCTTTCTTGCATGAGATTCAGGAGCTGTCTCTTTGGGTTCTGGATTGGGACCCCTTCCCTGTAACATATGCTGGCCTCTGCCTGTACCCCCTGGGAAAGGCCTTGTAGATGATAGTGAGAAGTTCTTGGTTTATTTTGGGGGCCTGCTAACCTAACACCATGTGAGCAGTTGGTGGTGAAGACTGGTAAGATAAGGAACCTTCATGGGTGGTAGGAAGAGGTAAGATGTTTAGAAATAGGAGTCAGGGGCCAGGCATGGTGGCTCACGCCTGTAATCCCAGCACTTTCAGAGGTCGAGGTGGGCAGTTCACGAGGTCAAGAGATCAAGACCATCCTGGCCAACATGGTGAAGTCTTGTCTCTACTAAAAATACAAAAATTAGCTGGGTGTGATGGCACATGCTTGTAGTCCCAGCTACTCGGGAGGCTGAGGCAGGAGAATTGCTTGAATCTGGGAGGCAGAGGTTTCAGTGAGCTGAGATTGTGTCACTGCACTCCAGCCCGGTGACAGAGTGAGACCCCATCTCAAAAAAAAAAAGGAGTGGGAGGGAGAGTATGAAGACTGAGAGGAGAAAGGGCTGTTGGATGAAGGAGGGGGCATTTGCCTTTTATCCATGTATCTCTCCAAGTATGTGACAGTGTTCCTTGCTACCCCCAACACTGGTCACTGGTTTTGCTTGTATGTCTTTACTTCATTTGAAAGGGAGATGCTGGTATCTAGTAGAAATATCTGGAGCCCTTTTGTTTCCAAGAAGATCAACGATACATTGCCATGCATCTTTGGCTGAGATAACGGGTGATGTCACCAACAGGCATTCCAGGAAAGCTGAGAGCAGCTACTGAAGGCAGCCAGCCTGCCTTCATTATAAGAGGAGAGCTCTGGCCTCCAACAGCTGAGGCATCCTGGTTGGTCAGTCTTACTTTCTTTTCTTGCCCATTTCATTTTTCAAGAGATCTCATTCTGAGATGTAGTGTTATGATCTTAAAGAGAGGGAGCCCTGCTGACTAAGAAGTGGTAGCCTTTGAGTCAGGGTGTCACATTTCTGGAGCCACACCGAAACTCTTACCCTGGCTCAGTTCCTACCATGGAGTCCTCAGGATTCCAACCCTCCCAGATCCCTCTATCCTTCTCTTCAGGAGTCCATGGAGTGGCTCACAGGGACTTACCAATGGCTGGGCCCATCATTCCCTCCCATTTCCTGGCACCTACTATTCCTCCGTACTTGATACAAGACACCAGGTGGCTTCTGTAGTTGAAGGGTCACCCTCTCTCTACCTCCCTGCCTCTTGGTTGCTGAAGTGAGATAATGCTCAGCCTCCTTAACATCCATCTTCTGCTCCAAGTATTCACTTGGAGGATGAACCTGGGGATTCACCTTCCATTATACCTGCATTGCCTTCTCTCACTAGGTTATGAAGATTTGGTACCTACCAAAAGACTCAGCAATGTGGCTATTGCATATGACCATCTTCTTGGATTATTGACCTGCTACCTATCACACCATCCTGTTCTCTGGGACTTTGGCTCCAAGCCATTAGTTGTATACATACCAGGCTCAATTCTGGATTTTCCTTGACCCTCATTCATTTTGACCCTCTTGCAACAACCTTCTATGAGATAAATCTCTTTCAAATTTCTCTTCCTATCAGAGATACCAACTGAGAGTTTATATAGTGTCTATGGTGTGAGGTACGTAGGTGCAATTTCCATGAAACCAGGGACCATGTGTATTTGTTCACTGCCATATCCTGGTCCTTAGCAGAGTGTCTGGTACCTGATATGATCTCTGCAAATATATACTGAGTAAACTAAGTATTTTCCAAGATGTTCTCTATTTCAATTATCCAGTGGACTCATTCTTATCTTACAATATTTGAGCTAAGCCTCATCTCTTCCTGGAAGCCTGCCCTCTCCCAAGTCTGATTAAGATGCTCCTCCTCTGAGCTTTCACAGTAAACTCGAGGTAACATGTGCTTGCCTCTGGCATGACACTTTACTCAAAGTACATAGTAATTTATTTACATGTCTGTCTTGTGTGAGCACCTTCAAAGCAGAAACAGTCTTTCATTTGTCATGTTTGATAAATGAAAAATAGTGAATTAATGAGTGGCCTTGGTCCCTCATCACACCACATGTTTAATCTTTTTTTTTTTTTTTTTTTTTCTCAGAGTCTGGAACATTTCAATAGACAATGGGTCCATAGTTTAGGCTGGCATTCTAAGACTCCAAATCATAATATACATAATTTCCATTATTTTAGCTGGGACCTTAACTTGCTTTGAAATCAGATAGGGCCAGGGGGAGAGGGCCCAGAGTACCTGTAGATGGAACCTCTTGACTTTCACCCGGCAGAGCAGCCTGGTCAGTCCTAATGAGTGTACAGCTGCCAGTGAGGAGATTCAGTGACTTGGCATGCAAGAGATTTTGCTCCTAGACTTGCATCTGGGCCTTTGAATAGTTGATGTGACCAAGACGTTTCTTTGTATCTTAGTTCCTAGCTGTGACACAGTATTTTGTCTGTGGAAAGGGTACCCATTTTTTTCTGCACAAAATTCATTAAAAAATGGAATCCTGATATAAAACTTATTCTTGTGAAGCGGGTCCTCGCTACCTTATTTCTGGGCACCCAGCTGCTGACCGTAACTATGGCCTGGATTTTTGCATGGCCCTCCATGCCTGCTGCCCCATTGGGATTAATGACCTGTCAGAAACTTGGCCCAAGCTCACCTCTGGAACCAGTCCTTTTCAGCTGGACCTGAGCCTGGTAGATCTAGTCCTCTTCTGTTCTGTCATTTATCAGCTTGCTAGAGAGAAGGAGAAATAAATTTTGCATTTGATGAAAGAAGAGGAAATATCTGCTTGTTCTCAATGATCTTGATGTCAGCATAGCTAGGTCAGGACATTCTGAAAGGGGGAGCACCCAGCCTTGTCATTTCCCTCATCAGTGGGACAAGATGAACAATACTTTGTGTTTCTAAGGAGCGCTGTTTTTTCCTCAACATTCTCTTGGCTTTTTTCCCCTCATTTTCATACTCAGAACTGCCTTGAAGAAAAGGAATGGACAAGTGGCTTTATTGTAAAAATGTGATGCAGTGATCACGTTGTACTGTTTTTCCTACTTTTTTCCTCTGATAATGTGTGCTATTCTCCTGACACACGCCATTCTCTCCTTCCTTCTCCTCACTGTGTTCTGTTTTTCTAATCCGTTTTATGCCACTCCACTCCACTCCACCCCACTCTACCCCACTCCACCCCACTCCACTCCACTCCACCCCATCCCACTCCACCCCACTCCATCTCACTCCACCCCATCCCATCCCACTCCACCCCATCCCATCCCACTCCACCCCATCCCATCCCATCCCATCCCGTTCTGTATTAAGGCTTCTTATTGAAGGTACAGCAGTGTATTAAAGAGCCATGTGCTCTGGCACCAGGCTTGGGTTCAAACCCTAGCTCTGTGTCTCATAGACTATGTGATGTGCCCTCCCTTGCCTTTGTTTCTTTATTGTAAGTTGTGGAGAATAATGTGTAATTCATAGGGAGGTGGTAGGAACTCGATGGGACTCAAGGTGAGGGTTGTATAAACCACAAATCCATATCACATTATGAATATTATAATTAATATGGAAAGCACTGTGTTAGTAGCTTCTGGGGCATTCAACACTGGCTTAAAGGCTCTCTCTTTTTTAAACTCTTGAAATTTTTAAAGAAGTAGATATTGGTACCCTTGTTAAAAGTATATGGCAAAATGTGTTGAGTCTTACAAGTTACATAAAATAGAGTGAAGGGAAATATTACAAATGTATCTAACCTGGAGAGTGTATACATGTGCGTGTGTGTGTGCACGCACACATGCATGTGCATGACTATCACAGAGAAGGGTGAATTTAAGCTGGGCCAGAAAATAGAACTGGTATTTTGTCAGGCCAGACAGGAAATGACAGCAGAAACTTTAGGAAAGTTACTTCACTTCTCTGAGCCTTAGATTCTTCAAATGTAAAACAGAGAAATAATACCTACCTCATAAATTAATAATAGTAACAGCAAGTGTTTATATAGAACTTACTTTTGCTTGGACGTGTTCTGAGTGAAGTATACACATCATTTCATTTCATTCTTATAATAATTTTAGAAAGTAGGAACTATTTTATTTCTAGTTTCATAGTCAAGGAAACAATGGCATTGAATACTTAAATAAATGTCCATGGTTACATAGTACTAAGAAGGAAATATGAAATGCTTAACTTAGGCCTGAGTGCTCCAGGGAATGATGCTGCCTTCAGCAGGGAGGAAATGAAGATGGGGCCAGAACTATCTCTGGATTCTAGAATGTGCTTCTCCTTACTCAGGTCTCACAGGTTTGTAGCCTCTCCCCAGATGGGTTCTGAGGTCCTATCCAGAGCCCAGAATGGTAGCAGGAGGAACAGCTAATAAAATATTTTTGCTAAGCCCTTAGTAAATGTGCAAGGGCTTCCTAGATGCTAATTTATAATTAGAAGGTGCCTAAGAAAGAAGATTCTTCCTGCTCCTTAAATAAATGTGTGCTGTGAGCAATCCTGCGTCAAAGTAGAAGGAAGAGGTAAAATCAACAGCCCCAAACTCATCCAAGTCACAGCTATCCCATGGTGAGAAAATGGAACTCAGTGGGAAAAAGAAATGAAAATAAACCCCAAGGAAGAGTTCTGCTTTGTGCTTAGTCACTTTGGGTATTTCTTTCCTCATCTTCCTGAGAAAGAAGAATGTGTATGGGAGGTGAAGTTGGGTGTTGACCAATCAGGAATCAGTTGCAGTTAACAGAAACAGTTTTAGATGCTTTTAACAAGAAGAATTTTTTTTTTTCCTTGAGACGGAGTCTTGCTCTGTTGCCCAGGCTGGAGTGCAGTGGTGCGATCTCCGCTCACTGCAAGCTCCGCCTCCTGGGTTCACGCCATTCTCCTGCCTCAGCCTCCTGTGTAGCTGGGACTACAGGCGCCCACCGTCACGCCCAGCTAATTTTTTGTATTTTCAGTAGAGACGGGGTTTCACCATGTTAGCCAGGATGATCTCGATCTCCTGACCTCGTGATCCACCCGCCTCGGCCTCCCAAAGTGCTGGGATTACAGGCGTGAGCCACCGCGCCCGACCAACAAGAAGTATTTTAAACAGAGCATTGGGGTCTTTCAAAACCTTTGGAAAGGTTAGAAGAAAGGCCATCAACTTGTGGCTCAGAATACCCCAGAACAACACTGCAGAACCAACTTGCCCCTGCAGCTGCTGCTTCTGCCACAACCAAGAAGGCAGGAAATCAAGAAGCTCCAACCCTGGAAACTATTGGCTCCAGCAACAAAACAGCTAAGCTGATATCCAAGGACTAGGAAACTGTGGCTGCAGCTGCCGCTTCCGAGCCCGGTCAGAGCTGTGCCTGGTGGTGGGTGGGGCTGCATTTAAAGTTCTCAAGCTCTCCTGCAAACCTTGACTGTACTGCTCTCTGATGGGCAATGTTGTAGAGGTTATGTCACCTCTCCAAGCCTCAGTTTTCTCATCTGTAAAATGTGGATAATAATCCTACCTCACAGGTTTTTGTAAGGCATGAAAAAACTCATGGACAGAGGCCAGGAGAGTGTCACCTCTACTTAGTCTCTTCACGTGTCAATGCCCTGTGGTGTCAGGTTTGTTGAACTACACTCCCAAATCCTAAATACTATCCTCTGCCTATCAAGAGGCTTAAGGTTTCCACATGATGCTCAGAAATTGTGAGAACCAGAAGGGAATTAGTTAGGATTTCATCATGTGAATACTCAAGCAGCCCTGTCTCCCGACCCCCATCCTGTGGATCTAATGTTTTGGAAGATCATGTCTAAAATAGTGCATCTGTGACACAATGATTAATTTGTACTCATGCTTTGTAAAAAAGACCTTCCGACGAGCATGAATTGGTCAGTCGGAATAGGAAATTCATTCATTTCCTATGCTGAATGAATATAATTTGAGTCCTAAGTTTAAAAAAAAAGTCAATCTCATAGAAACAGAGTAGGCAGGTGGTAACCGGAGGCTGGGTAGCAGGGAAAGATAGAGAAAGGGAAGATGTTCATTAAAGGGCACAAAGCTTCAATTAGACTGGAGGAGTAACTTTTAGTGATTTATTGCGTGGCATGGTGACCACAGTTAATAATAATGTATATTTCAAAAGTGCTAAAGAGATGTTTAATGTTCACACCACAAATAATTGGTGAGGCAATGGATATGTTAATTAGGTTGATTGAATCTTTCTATAATGTGTAACTAGATGAAAGCGTGACATTGTACTCCATAAATATACACAATTGTTGTGAATTAACAATTTTTTTAATGTAGGAAAAACTTGATATTTTGGTTTCCTTTTGTGGCCTCCCCTTAGTAGGTGTACAGTTTCCACTGGCTCTGGTAACAGAATGCTCACTCACATAGTCTGTCCCTGAGAGCTCAGGAGCTGGGAGCTGTGCACGCTGACTGCCTGGGGTCCACCTGGGCCAGTTGAGGGCTGCCTGCTGAGGCACTTGAACCCATAATCCAGGAGGAGGAAGGTCTTAGAAGGGAATGGAAGTAGAGTGACCCGAGAAGAAGCTAGAAAGAGTGCTGGGAGGTCAAAGCTCAAAAAGGCCTTCTCTTCTGGAACTTTCTGTTCTTTCTTCAGAACAAGTATGTGTTACCGCCATTTTACAAATGAGAAAACAGAGGCTTAAAGAGGTCCACATTTGCACAGCAAGTTAGAGGCAGAAGTGGGTCTCCTGGCCCTGAGGCTCTGTGGGCCTGGTTTCCCTCGGCTATTTTCCTCCTGCCTGGAATTCCTCCTCCCCTTCTCCCCTTCATCTCCAGGCATAGTCATTCTTAAAAGAGAGCCCAGGGTTCAAATTGTTTCAAACAAAAACACAGCCAAAATAGAGCCCCTTGGAATCCACCACAGCTACAAACCTGACAGCTTCCCACTGTGGGCTGAGAAATAATTATTGTTGGTAATTAGAACTAAATTACTCTTGTCAAAACAGACGAAATTGCAGAGCTAGCACGGGGGCATCTAAGATATGTCTGTCCCAATGGCCACTCTCCTTCCTTTTGGCCTAATTGAGACTCATGTGGCCGCAAGAAATTCCCTTTTAATTCTGTACTCCAGTTGTGGGTCAGAGTCATTAGCCATAGACCTACTTGCAGAATGTAAAATGAAAGGGTTCATTTTGTGAGCTCCTATTTTTCTGGAGAGACAAGAGAAAAGCTGGTGATAATAATAGTAGCCCATAGTAGCAGTTAGACAGAAGGAAAGAAAAATTCAGCTTATACTGCAAGGGAATTCCAGGAGGTTGTATTCAGTAAAGGCATCATGCAATTATATAGGCCTGCGTAATGACAAGAGGGGTGGGGATGGGGGGAGAGAGAGAGAAACAACTCGTTTTGTTTCCTTTCTGACTGTGGCAGCAATACAAGTCAATTAAAAAAAAAAGAAAATAGAAAAAAGTATAAAAAAGGAAAGAAAAACCCCAAATCCTAATATATAGCAGTGATTGGTATTTATATTTGGAGTATTCTCTTCTGGTTAGTGTTTTGTTCTCTCTCTCTCTCTGTCTCTGTCTCTGTCTCTGTCTCTCTCTCTCTCTCACACACACACACACACACACACACACACACACACACACACACACAGACTAGTTTCATTCTCCCCTCAACTCATCAGTAAAGAACCAAGTGGTGTATTATTTTACTTCTACCACCCAGCAGATGGAGATATGAATTTCACTTGTCCCAGGAGAGAATGAATGAGCCTTTGTTCTTGGCAAAGGTGAGCTTTAGGGCTGGGGAGAGAGGCCCATGCTGCTGTACAAGGAGCTGGGGAGAGCAGGCCTGCACGGAAGAAAGAATAGACCTACTCGAAACATTTTCTGTACTAATTCTGTCTCTGAGCTCCCTGGTGACCTTAGGGAGAGGAATGATCTACCCACTCATGGTCCTAGAAGCCAGATTCCAATTGATTCAGAAAAAGAAAATTTCCTGAACATTTTTCAACCTGAATTTTGTGGAGTAAAGTTATGCTTGCTACACTGATGTTTTCCTTGGGTGACATTGTGCTGAATACGCAGGATTCCCCCGACATGTTACTATACATACTTCCTCATGCCGTTTCCGGGCTTCTGTAGGCTCCTTGGGTGGACATTTCTCAAAATGTTGGCTGGACAAGGTCAGGGCCAAAAACTGTGGTCTCAGGAAAGAAGCATTCTCTGAGGAGTCTTTTGGCTTCATTACATCTAAGTGGGAACTCCCTGAGCTAATAGTAGATTTGCTACCAGAGGTAAGGTCCAAGACAAATGATGGCTGCTGCTTCCACAAAACACAAGAATCCTTTGCATCCTTGGCTACTCACTCACTAGCGGGGTGACCTTGTGAAGTTTACTTAACTGTTTTGGCTTCAGTTTCCATGTCTGTACAATGGGGAATATAAAATTACATCAAAAATAAGTGTGAAGATTAAATGAGAAAAATGCCTTTAGTTTTAGAGCAGTGCATGGCATGTAGTATGCCAAAAACAAAACAAAACAAAAAAAACTTGCTACTAGATGGTTTCTCTCTCTTTTTTTTTAATCCAACAAATGAAACTAGAAAAAACTTTCACATACCTACAATATTTGAGCAGGAGCTGCCAGGTAGATTCATGATTTCTGGTGCCCTATTGTAATTCTTCCCCTTTCTCATCCACCCCAAAGCAGCCTCATCCTAGGCTATCTGATCCATCGAATAGCCTTCCCCACCACATCACTCCCTCATTCTGCAGTTTGTAGGGGAAGGAGAGATCACCTTCAATCCTCCTTAGCTCTTGTGTTAGCTCTTCAGCTGGGTCTAGGAACAAAGTTGACACCACACAGATTAACAGAGAAAGGTATGCAAGTTTATATATTTACATGTACGTGGGGCACTGCGTAAGTGAGTGAAGTCCCAACAAAATGGCCAAGCAAGATGCTTTTATACATTTTAGACAAAGAATAACAGATTTGTGAAGAAATGACAGGACAAAGGGGATCTGGCTAGGAGCAATAAGTTCTAGGGGAACCACTAGGAGACATAAAGGGGTGTAAAACTAGTGGAAAATAAGTGTTACTTAGGAGGAAGTTGATTCTGGCCCATTGTAGCCTGAACTCCCATTCTTCTGGTGATGAAGGCTATTTTCTCACCCTGGTATGGGGAAAGTATCCCTCCTGGAGTAATATTTATGGCTTGCTACATGTAGAAAAGGACAGATCAGCTCTCCTTTTCTGAAACTATAATTTCTCCAATATTTTCAGCTTGGAGTAATCAAGACACCAATTCAGCATATTTTGGGATGGCATATCCATGTCTTCTTAATTGTCACTTCTTCCTATCTGCACTCCTGACCAACACAGTTACTAAGCAAATAGTTGAGTGATCATTTGATTAATATTGAACAACAACACTGGGGTCCACTTTAACTTTGGCCCTGAATCCCCATTTCCTGGCACAGCATAGGTGCTGAACAGAGAGTTAAATATGTGATTATTTAATTGTAAATGAGTGTAATATTATTACAAGATAAGACTTGTGATATGGTGATATGGTTTGGCTCTCTGCCCCCCTCCGCCCCCCCAAATCTCATGTTGAATTGTAATCCCCAGTCTTGGGGGAAGTACCTGGTGGGAGGTGTTTGGATTATGGAGGAAGATTTTCCCCTTGCTGTTCTCGTGATAGTGAGTTCTTATGAGATCTGGATGTTTCAAAGTGTGTAGCACTTCCCTTCTGCTCTCTCCTGCTCTGCCATGATAAGATGTGCTGGCTTCTCCTCTGCCTTCTGCCATAATTACCAGTTTCCTGAGGCCTCCATGCCATGCTTCCTGTACTGTCTGTAGAGCTGTGAGTCAATTAAATCTCTTTCCTTCATAAATTGCACAGTCTCAGGTAGTTCCGTATAGTAATGTGAGAATGATCTAACACAGAAAATTGGTATTTGAGAAGCAGAGCATTGCTATAAAGATACCTGAAAACGTGGAAGTGACTTTGGAACTGGGTAATGGGCAGACGTTGGAACAGTTTGGCGGAATCAGAAGAAGATAGGAAGATGAGGGAAAATTTGGA